>NC_000005.10:114049200-114352231 GCF_000001405.40 Homo sapiens | reverse complement strand
TTATAAGAGAATGAGATAAACAAGTATATGCCAACAAATTGATGACTTAAATAAAATGAGAAAATTGCTAGAAAATACAAAAACTGACCGTGATTAAGTAGAAAATTTGAATGGGCCTGTACAAAGTAAAGTAATTGTATTAGAAATTTTTTAACTTTCTATGAAGAAATGGCCAGGCCCTGTTGGCTTCGCTGGTGAATCTGTAGTATACTTAACACAATTAATAGCAATTTTTCACAAACCTTTCCCAAAAAATAGAGGAGGAAAAACACTTCCGAACCCATTTTAAAAGGCCAGTATTACCCTGATATCAAAATGAAAGACATCATAAGAAAACTACATTTATGTATATAGATGCAAAAATCTTCAACAGAATACAACCAATCCAAATACAGCAACATACAAAGTTATATACATGACCAAGTTGGAATTATCATAAGAATACATAGTTTAGTGTTATAAAATTAATTAGTGTAATACAAACTATCAATACAATAAAGCAAAATAACCATATAATCATCTCAATGGACACAGAAAAAATATTTGACAAAATCCAAAACTCTTTCATGATAAACACACTCAACAAAGTAGGAATACCAGGAAGAGGTTGAACAGGACTTCCTCAGCTTGATAGACGACATCCATGAAAAAAATCTACTACTAATATCATACTTACTGGTGAGAGACTAAATGGCTTTTCCCTTAAGATCGATATGAGAGAACAATATTTGTTCTTCCCACTTTTATTAAACATTGTATTAGAAATTCTAGCCAGTACAGTTAGGTAATAAAAAGAAACAAAAGGTATTCAGATAGATAAGAAGTAATCAACCTATCTCTTTATACAGGACATGACTGTGGATCTAGAAAATCTTAAGGAATTCACTAAAATGCTCTTAGAACTAATAAACAGGATCAGCAGGTTTCTACATACAAGGTCAACATCAATACAAATCAATTGTACTACAATACACTAGTAATGAACAACCTAAAAATGAAATTTCAAAATGATTGCATTTGTAAAGTCATCAAAAAGAATACAATAATTAGAAATGTAACAACAAAAGTACAAAACTGATACTCTGAAAGTAAAAAATATTTAAATAAATTAAAGAATGCACAAATTAATGAAGATACAATCTATGCTCCCAAGGCAAAATACTTAATATTGTTAAAATGGCAAGAGTCTCTAAACTGACCCACAGATACAATCAAATCCCTATCAAAATCCTAGCTGATAGGGTTTGGGAGAAATTGGCAAACTGACCCTAACATTCATATAGAAATGCAAATAGCCAAGAATAGACAAAGCAATCTTTAAATAGAATAAAGTTGGAGGATGCACACTTGTTGAGTGGAAACTTACTGCAAAGGTATAGTAATCAAGATAGTGTGGTAATGGCATAACATAGATATGTAGGACCAATGAAACAGAATTGAGAGTCCAGAAATAAACCTTTACATTTATGACTGATTGACCTTTAATAAGGGTGCCTAGATAATTCATTGGGGGATAGAACAATCTTTTCCACAAAAAGTGCTAGGAAAACTGGATATTCACATGCAAAAACATGAACCTGGACCCTTTCTTTACACAATGCAAACAAATTAACTCAAAATAGATCAAAGACCTAAATGTATGGAATAAACTGTAAAACTCAAAGCATTTGAGTGAATCATTGTGAGCTTGTGACCTCAGCAGTGGTATTTTAGATATAATACTAAAAGCATAAGCTACAAAGGAAAAACATAGACAAATTGGGCTTAATCAAAATAAAAAACTTGTGCTTCAAAGGATACCATCAGGAAAGTGAAAAGACTACCTACAGAATGGGAGAAAATATTTACAAATCATAGATGTGAAAAGGGACTTGAATCCATAGTATATAAAGAACTCTTATAACTCAATTATAAAAATAATAAATATGTAATGTGTATTTCAAGATAACTAAAAGGTAAGATTTTGAATGTTATCACCACAAACAAATAATAAATGTTAAAGTGATAGATATGGTAATTATCCTGATGTGATCATTATATAGTGTATACATGCATCGAAACATCATACTGTATCCTATAAATATGTACAATTCTGTGTCAATTGCAAATAAAAATAATTTAAAAAAATTTAAAAGAATAAATAAGCCAAAGGCAAAATCTCTGAATAGACATTTATCCAAAGAAGACATAAAAATGGTCAATGGGCACATGAAAAGCATAGGCACTACATCATTGGCCACTAAAGAAATGCAAATCGAAACCACAATTTGATACTTCACACCCACTAGGATGCCTATATTTAAAAAGACAGATAATAGCAAGTGTTGTCAAGGATGTGATGAAATTTGAACCTTCACACACTGCTCGTGGGAATGTAAAATGGGACAGGTGCTTTGGAAAAGTTTAGCAATTCCTCAAAATATTAAATGTAAACATACCATTTTACTCAACATTTCACTTCTAGGTATGTACTCAAGAGAAATGAAAATGTACATCCATACAAAAACTTTTACATGAATGTTCCCTGCAGCATAATCCATAATAACCAAAAAGTAGAAACAATTCAAAAGCCCATCAACTGATAAGTATATAAATAAAATGTGGTACAGGTTGAGTATCCCTTATCCAGAATGCTTGGGATCAGAGTGTTTCTGATTTTTTATTTTTTTGAATTTTGGAATATTTTCATATACCTAATGAGAGATCTTGGGGATGAGACCCAAGTCTAAACACATAATTCATTTTTGTTTCATATACACCTTATACACATAGCCTGAAGGTAATTTTATACAATAAGTAATTTTGTGCATGGAACAAAGTTTGTGTACCTTGATCCATCAGAAAACAAAGGTATCAGGTGTGGAATTTTCCTTATGGTGTCATGTTGGTGCTCAAAAATTTTCAAACTGTGGAGCATTCCAAAGTTTATATTTTCAGATTAGGGATTCTCAACCTGTATATCCTTACAATAGAATATTATTCACCAGTAAAAACCAATGAAGTCTTGATACATGATACAACACGGATGAACCTTGAAAAGACATAAAGGAAAGCCAGTCGCAGAACACGTTACATGATTCCATATATAGGAAATGTCCAGAATAGGCAAAGCTAAAGATAAAATGTTACAAAATTGGTTGTCTTGGGCTGGGGGGAAGGAGAGCAGCAAATTAGAGTAAGTGATAATAGGTACAGTGTTTCTTCTTGGTATGATCAAAAACATTTTTAAACTGGAGTGTGGTGATGGTTATGTAACTCTGGGAATATACTAAAAACTATTGATTTATACACTTTAAATGGGTAGATTGTATGGTGTATGTAAATTCTATCTTAAGAAAATTGTTAAAAAGTGATGAGAGCAATTCCCAAATAAAACTGAATGCTAAAATGAAAGTATCAATTTAAAATGAATATTGGTTAGGCAACCTTTGATCTATAAGATTAGGAAGAACAAGAAACAGTTTTCCGAGGTGGCATAAGTGACTATCATCTATGCATTTTAAGATAATTGAGGATTCAAGATTTTTTCTTGTCAGTCTCTATCCACAGAGTTTGTAAATCCAAATAGTATCATGGCTCAGTGAATGTCCTAATAGGAATTTTAGTATATAAATAAGGTGTGGCATTTTATTTTAATTGTGGAAATTAGATTTCTCTTAATGATATGTAAGTACCAGATCAAGTATATTTTGTACTGAATTCTACAGTTAAAAATCACTGTCATGAAATGATCCTAACAGCAAGAAAAAAGTGGGACTAAAGCATTCTCTGAAGATGACTGGTAATGGCTTCTTTTTATTATTATTATTATTATACTTTAAGTTTTAGGGTACATGTGCACAATGTGCAGGTTAGTTACATATGTATACATGTGCCATGCTGGTGTGCTGCACCCATTAACTCGTCATTTAGCATTAGGTATATCTCCTAATGCTCTCCCTCCCCCCTCCCCCTCGTAATGGCTTCTTGTGGCCATTAATTAATTTTCTTTGTAACCTTTTAGCTCTCCTATCACCCTTTGGTATCTCAAACATATACATACAGCATCATGAGACCGAGCCTTTTGTAGAGGTTTTTGGTGGCAATTTAGAAAATATATGTTCTCAGTTTTGAGAGTTGGCAGCAAAAGTGCACTCAACATGCAGCCTGCTGCATGTGGTTTGGCTGTTTGAAGCACACATCTTAAAGGACTCAGTGGTCAAGAAGACATACATGGGCAGGCACTGTGTAGTTAGCAAGGGTCTCACTTGATATTAACAGGTGGCTGTAATACTAGGATCAGACTTACCTGAGTGCTCACTTCAAAAGAGAGACTAAGGGAGTGAGAGGCTCTCTTGGGAAAGCTGAGCCAATAGTTCAACATTGTCTCATGGATGGTTACCTAGGGTCACTTAGAGGTGAGGATAGCTTTGAAGCAGTACATATAATCCCTGACTATTTCCCATTATTACGAAAAACTAATTTACTCATGGGGTTTTTCTTTTGGTTTGTGTTTTTAGCCAAGGTAAAGGTCATGTTTTTATTTAAATATATTACATATTTTATCAAGAGTCAAAAGAAAACTGTTTTTAGTGGTCACATAGACAATGGAAAAAGGTGTAGAAAACAAAACACTTTGTTCCCAAAGATAAATTATGTGAAATATACCAAACCACTGAAATAAGATTGATCAGAAAGTTTTGTCTAGGTTATTAAACGTAGTTCTGTGATGAAGAACTCATATTTCCTTGTAAACATTTCAGTATTTTGATTATCCCAAGATCAGGACTTTGGAGAACACATAAAGCACGCAGCCTAGTAAGTGGGCTTTACCCATAAGTGGTGGAATCTGATGTAATTGATGAGTACCATTCTAGGGTTTTCTTAATACTGGTGATGTTAACTTTGATCACTTGGTGACAATGGTGTCTTCCAGATTTCTCCACTGTAAAGTTACTGTTTCTCCCTCCACAGTTAGTAAGTATCTTATAAGATTCTTTGAGACTATGCAAACATAGCATTAATTATCATAATTTCACCCAGTAATTTTAGCACCAATCAAGGATTATTTTCTGTAGCAATTATAAATGTGGTGTTTACCTAATGGTGATATCCTCCTTTAATAATACCTTCTATATTGATTAGCTAAATTATATTTTAAGAAAGACATGTCCCTACTTCCTAATGTACTTATTTATTCAATGAAATATTATTGTAACCATATAAAGGTAATGGGTGTTTTATTCTATGAGTGATAATCCATTATCATTATTTATTTTGTTCTCAAATGATTCCAGCCTTGGCCATTAAAAGCTCCTTCAGGTTGGCCCCTGTGTCCTTTTGGCATTCCCCCATTATTTTTTGAACAGTTCATCATCCTCTGGCATCACAAGATGTTCGAGGCTTAACTTGGTATTTTTCTGTCCCAGCCCCTGGAGTGAACTATTTTTCCAGGTATGCCTGGTTCTTTTTTTTTTTTTTTTGGAGAATGAATTTAAAAACCAACATATGCATACAAAGGTAACTCATTGTTACTGCCATGTCATTTTTTACAGGCCCTTTCAGCTATCAGAGATACAAATATATCCATGTATATGAACCCATACACACAGAACTATATTTAATATCTATGTCTATCTCTGTGTATATATATTTAGAAGTAAATTCATATTCATACACCCAATTCTAATGCAATACCAGAGTTCAGTTTTGCTGTATTATTTTCCTTGTTACTCTTTCCTTTAACAACGAAACATCTGGCCCTCATTACTCACAATATATTTATTTATTTGCTCAATCTTAGTTACAGAATAGCTAGTAATTCCCAGACAGAAAACAAATTTACTCACTAGCAAATGATGTTTGTGTCCAGTTCTGTTTGTCCTTAACCTTATAGTACATGTTGACAGAGTTTGTATCTATGTCCCTGCCAAATCTTATGCTGAGATGTTGGAGGTGGGGCCTGGTGGGAGGTGTTTGCGTCATGAAGGCAAATTTCTCATGGCTTGGTGTTGTCGTCGCATGGCTTGATTCTGTCTTCACAATAGTGAGTGAGTGTTAATAAGATCTGTGATTATTTAAGTTTATGCTCCCCAACCCCAATTCCTGCTTTGGCCATGTGATGTGCCTGCTCTTGTCTTTGCCTTCTGCAATGATTAAAAGCTCCCTGAGGGCTGAGCACTGTGGCTCATGCCTGTAATCCCAACATTTTGGGAGGCTGTGGCAGGGGATCACTTAAGGTCGGGAGTTGGAGACAAGCCCAGCCAACATGGTGAGACCCTGTCTCTACTAAAAAAATACAAAAATTAGCCAGGCACAGCAGCGCATGCCTGTAGTCTCAGCTACTCGGGATGCCGAGGCAGAAGAATCACTTGAACCTGGGAGGCGGAGGTTGCAGTGAGCCAAGCTTGTGCCACTGCAGTCCAGCCTGGGTGACAGAGCGAAACTCCATCTCAAAAAAAATAAAAAATAAAAGCTCCCAGAGGCCTCCCCAGAAGCCAAGCAGATGCTACTGCCATGCTTGTATAGCCTGCAGAACTGTGAGCCAATTAAACCTCTTTTCTTTAGAAATTACACAGTCTCAGTTATTTCTTTATAACAATGCAAGAACAGACTAACACACATCATAATTAATGTTTTCCAAAGTTAGTTAGATCGGTTCTTTCTGCCCCCCAACTCTTTCAGTGTTGTTCTTATCTGTAATGCAGCTAGCTTCTTTCACTGCTATTTGATTTCGATTTTTATTTCACCTACATCCTGGTTGATTTTAATTAGCATTCATTTGTCTTTTGGGGTTTGTGAAATAGTGCAATGATTCTAAGTGTCAGAGCTATGCAACAGGTATACTCAGAGAAATCTGAATTCAGGAAGGTCCCTACTCCATTGCCATTCTGTTATCCTTTTTGCCCTTTTCCCATCCATGCCTTGTAGAAAACCAATTTTATTAGATTCTGCTTTGTCCTGCTTGTATTTCTTTTGTACCAGGAAGTTGACACATGTATATTTTTTTTTCCACAAAGAGTAGTGTATTCTTTTACCCTTTACTTTTTTCACTTAACAAGATATTTTGGAAATGTATCTATATGAATCCATAGAGATCTTTCTCACTCTTACAGTTACACAGTATTTCACTGTGTGGATGTAGCATTGTTCATTCAAACACTCTCTTATTTTGGGACATTCAAGTTGTTTCCAGTGTTTTGCAGAACAAAAAATGCTGAAATGAGTAACCTTGTGCATATGTATTTTCAAATTGATGAAGGTGTATCTTCAGGGCAAAATCCTAGCAGGGGTATTTCTAGGTCAAAATATAAGTGCATATGTATTGTCTCTTGATTAAGTTCTGCCTAAATAAGCAGCACCTAGTCTAATAGATTATCTTGACTTTCCTTTTCAATTAATCAAAATTAAATGGGCTGTAATTTTTCCGTGGCAGTTTATAATCTGAGTTTCTTCATGTGTTGTAAAGAATTTAGCCTTGGCCAAGAAAGGTCTGGCCTTTGTCCTTGGCTCCAGGGAGGTAACCTCTAAACGCTTAGACTCTCCCAAGTGATAGGAGTGTTTTTGTTATTCATGATGGACTCCTCAGACCATACCTTATAGTTTGGGCTAAAGAGGTGACTCATGGTCAGTCCCTTGGGTCACATATCAGCTGACTCCTGGGAAGGGGGCAGCAGAGACTGAGTTCAGTCACATGGAAAATAAATCCATCAATCATGTCTATGTAATGATGCCCCAATACAACTCTGGACACTGAAGCTTGAAAGAGCTTCCCAGGTTGTTAATACTCCATGCATATTGTCACACATGGATGCTTTAAAGGGTAACACATCCAGAGGACATAGAAGCTTTACACTTGCAGCCCTCCCAGACCTTACCCTACACTCTTCCTTTCCATCTGCATTCTTTGCTGTGAGTATACAGTCTTCAGGGAGTTCTGTCAGTCCTTCTAGCAAATTATTGAACCTAAGGATGGTTTTGGGAACCCCTCATATTTGCAGTTGATGTCAGAAGTGAGGGAAGTCTTGGTGACTGGGCTCCTTACTTTGTAGTAAGACCCAAACTCCTTGCAGTTGGTGTCAGAAGTTTGGGCCAACCTGGCAGTCTTGAAGACCATGCCCTCAACCTCACATTTTGGCTAACAACTCTGGGTGGTTCAGCACTTCTGCAGGCTAAACTCGAGATCTCTGGGTTAACCAAGAGAAAACTGGAAGACAATGTTAGTTTCAGTTCCAGTGCATGTTTAAAGAATTAAATATAAACTAGAATCCTTTACCAAAGTGTGAAGAGAAAGGTGCTCTGTTCTCAGATGTCTCCAGGTATAGGCGAGGAAGAGAAAATCCCCTAGGACCACATAAATAGGAGAAACTCAGACTATCAGGCATCCCTGCCCATCAGACATCAGAGGGATTAGACAGCTTCTCAAAGCACTTTATACAAAAAGCAGATGGGTATAAATACTCTATCCACCATAGGGATTCACTGTTGTCTTTAGGATTGTACCACTCATTCCCTCACCACACCCTGCTGTTCCCCCCACACCATGTTGTTCCCCCCACACCATGCATCTTTGTCCTCCAAGTAGCCATGGTATTCAAGTCTTTGTCCAAAGCCCACTTGGAGAGATGAGCATTCTTTCTGCCACTCTGACTTCATTCTTTTGCCCCTCTCTCCTTTCTGCATCTAACCCCTAGTAAAGCAGACCCTAAAATACTGTATGTATTATTTTTTATGGAAAATTTGAGGATCTTACCTGCACCTAAAATTCCCTCTAAATCCTACCTCTTATTTTAGTTAAGTCACAGTTGAAAGATGTATTCAGGCCACAAGCTACCTTTCATTCATTTCTACCTATGCTCATTTATGCTTTAATATTTATTAGAACTTGGAAAATAGTATATCTCAATAATGAGATATAGACAAGAACTCAGTTATATAGCACTCTCTCACCAAGCATCCCATCTTTCCATAATTTAACCAAAGACAGAACAAACCACAGCCCTTTGGAGACAAAATCAATGTCAAGAAGCCTCTGTTGGCTATTCATTAGCAAGCCTTCAGACTTTCAGTAATCCTGATTGATTTCCTGACCCACTACATATCAAAAGTTTAAGACTAAGAATAAAGGCTTATTGAATTTGATAAATTAAATGTAGCAAGAAATGAAGATGTGACAACTGATTCCTTGAGAAACTAACAGTGTATTTATAAACAGAACTTAACACAGCATAAGAGCTCAAAAAAACATATCAGGAGAGGATCAGGAAGAATAGCTAATGGATGCTGGGCTTAAGACCTGGCTGACGGGGTGATCTGTACGGCAAACCACCATGGCATGCGTTTACCTATGTAACAAGCCTACACATCCTGCACATGTACCCCTAAACTTAAAAGTTAGGGGACAAAAACACATCAGGGCAAGTGGTCATTTATACTTGAAGAAGCCCCAGTGCCATCCTTGAATTCAAGATGAGGCTAATATGTGTTTTGATGGTGATCCTAAGTGATCAAGAAAACTAAATTATGTATACCACAGTCTGTTAAGAAAGAATATACTTATAATATGACATTTAAGAAGAATTACCTTCAAAATTATTTTTAAAAAATTCTTGGGCCATAACCTTTATCTTAGAATGTTGGTTTTCTATGAACAATTCTAGATTTCTAAGAATTTATTTTGTTAAGGCTTTACTCTGGAAAGCCTACTTTCAGATCACAAATGTTGGTGATCTAAAGTCTATGAAATCTTTCTGGAGGGAATCTTTCCTGTACATTCCACAAATAATCATCAACCCTACCTCCAATACGCACACACCATATGGCTTGCATGACATTAGAGAATTTTTATAATTCTTGTCATTCTGTGTATCTGCATCAATTCACTGATGCCTATAAAATGTAAGCTCTCAGGGAATATGTCAGTTTAATTTGCTTTTCATGATTATCCTCACAGCTCCTTGCCTAAGGAGGTATTTTAATATGCTATTTGAGTAAGTGCATAAGAGAATTGGCAAAATACAATTCTGGAGATATAATTTAAAAAAAAAATTATGGGCCGGGCACAGTGGTTCACGCCTGTAATCCCAGCACTTTGGGAGGCCAAGGCGGGTGGATCACGAGGTCAGGAGATCGAGACCATCCTGGCTAACACGGCGAAACCCCGTCTCTACTAAAAATACAAAAAATTAGCCAGGCATGGTGGCGGGTGCCTGTAGTCCCAGCTACTTGGGAGGCTGAGGCAGGAGAATGGCGTGAACCCAGGAGGCTGAGCTTGCAGTGAGCCGAGATCATGCCACTGCACTACAGCCTGGGTGACAGAGCGAGATTCCGTCTCAAAAAAAAAAAAAAACACATTATGAAAACTTTCTAGTGTCTGTTTTATGCTCTATTTTAACCAACAGTAGGCTGTGTCATTATCAAGTAAAACTGGAAAGACCAAAAGTTCTTTACACTTCATAATTTGGCCATAAAACCAAAACCTAAGGATAGAAAAGTCCAGAAACCTTCATCATTAGTATGTTATGGGTAAAATGTTTTTGACTAATGAAATATTTTTATAGAAATGTCTTTTTTATTTTTCATAGTATTTTATAATCAGAAATATTTTCTTTTACTATCTCTGGCTTCGAAGATAAAGGAACCATATCCTGACTTTTTTTTTATTTTGAGGGAGTGTCTTTCTCAATCATAGCAGACATCAACATAAATTATAATGACATCAAACAGGAGTTAGTGATAATCTGGTTGTGATATGCTAAGCAAGTTGTCCAGGATCTGAAAACCCCTAATTTTCCCCTTCTCCTAAATGAATTTATAATTTCATTTCTAGCATTCATCTCCTTTTATCTTCATTTCATTTCTAGCTCCTACAAACTTTCTATGCTATCCTTTTTACAGATGCACCTTTACTTCCAGAACTGAACTCCTGATCCACATCCTTCTTCCATGAATTTAGTATCTATGTACCAATTTCCCTTCTTTACAGCACACTGAACAACTTTTACATTCATATGGACAGCAATTCAAATGCTGGAGATTTACATTTAGCTATCTTTGATTAAACTAACATATAGAGTCAGTCTTTTTAATTGTAAATATTTTTCCAGCTTTATGAAGGCATTATTCATAACAGCCACAATACAGAAACAACCTAAGTGTCTGCCAATGGATGACCGGATAAAGAAAATGTGGTATATACATATAGACGATGAAATATTATATTCACCCTTTAAAAAGAAGGAAATATTGCCCTTTTTGACAAGGATGAATCTGGGAAACATTATGCCAAGTTAAATAATCCAGACATAGAAAAACAAACAATGCATGACCTTACTTATATGTGGAATATAAAAATGTCAAACTCATAAACAGAAGAGTAGAATGGTAGTTGCCAGGGGCTGAGGCAAGGGAAAATGGGGAGATATTGGTCAAAGGGTGCAAAGGTTCAGTTTGCAGGATGAATAATTTCTGGAGACTATAGTACAGTGACTACTGATATAGTGATTAATACTGTATAGTGTACTTGAAGTTTGCTAAGAGAGTAGATATTAAGTGCTCCCATCACACACACACACACACACACACATGCACACACACACACCATAATGGTGTGAGGTGATGGATATGTTAATTAGCTTTACTGTTGTAACTATTTCACAATGTATACATATGTCAAAATATCATGTTCTATACCTTAAATATATACCATTTTTATTTCTAGAAATGTAGATTATATTCTGGCTGTTGATAATTTTAATGGAAGATGGCTACTTGAAAAAGTAAATTAACCAAAGGAAATGTGTGTGTCTATGTGTGTGTGAATGTATATATATAAACTATAATATATATACACATATACTTTAAACAATTTTTAGATCACAGCCATTTGGCACATAATCAGTGGGCTAAAAATTATGAAAATATTTGTACAATACATTGTAATTTGGTTGTCAAGTGGAAGATTGGGGCAACTTAAATAGAACACAATTAAACAATGACAATCTGCTTCATGTTTACGCAAGTGACCATTTGGATTTCTCTCTTCGTAGGTGAAAAATGTTGGGAGATTCAATCAACAAAATTGATAGACTCAATTAAAATTTTTAATCTTTTTGGCAAAAAAAATTGACTCCTACTTTATTTTTAAACAGTCTTTCATTGTGTAATAGAAAGCATTCAGACTTTAGAGATAGAAAGTCCTGAATTCAAATCCTGACTTGAGTCATATATCCATAGGCAAGTTTTTCATTTTTCCAAGCTAAAGTTCTGCTATATGTGGCAGGATGAGTGAGAAATTAACTTGCCTGTTGTTTTTACTCTTCCTAAAAGAAACTGGCCCAATTCAGCACCATCCTTCTGTTGTCATGGAGGTCTGTGGGCCCAATATTGCCATATATCATGCATTTTTATTTATTTATTTATTTATTTATTTATTTATTTGTTTGTTTGTTTGTGATAAGGTCTGGCTCTATTGCCCAGGCTGAAGTGCAGTAGCATGGTCTTGGCTCACAGCAACTTCCACCTCCTGGGCTCAAGCAATCCTCCCACCTCAGCCTTTCAAGTAGCTGGGACTATAGGCATACACCACCATGCCTGGCTAATTTTTGTATTTTTTGTAGAGATGGGGTTTCTCCATGTTGCCCAAGGTGGTCTCGAACTTGTGAGCTAAAGCAATCCGCCCACCTCAGCCTCCCAAAGTGCTGGGATTACAAACATGAGCCACATCACCCAGCCCATCTCCTGCATTTTAAAGAGAATCATGAAAAAATCCAACATTTTATGTTAAACTCTGCCAGTTGTTAAATATTTGTAGTTTTTTCCTTTGTAATACAAGGAAGTGTGAGTAGGCCATGTCTGCTGCTCAGAGCTCATCTAATAATACCAGTTTGCATCTTCTGGCCAGAACCATGAGAAACTGAAACTGCATTATCTAGCAAGGGTGTAAAGGTTGACAGTAACCAGAAATGAAGCCTGGAAAGGGGGCCGGGGTTTTCTGTGTGGACAAGACCTCAGCCTTCACGAACATGGTAGTAGAGGGCCACAACTCCTCAGCTTGAGCTGGCTGTTGAGGTGACCCTGAGAAACCCTATCAAGTATTGTTTCTTAGGGAACCTTTGTGATGATTCCTCTTATGTACGTTTGGCAAAGAAAGAGAAAAACCACCAAAGGAGTTGTCTACCTCTTAGTAGGCCAATGGTCTTAAGCACAGAGCAACAGCGAAGGCTGCCACCAATGACTGACCGCATAATTCTCAGAGTTCTTTAATGGCCCAAGGTCAAAGAGACCCTCCTTGATTCCTGAAATTCACATTTTTCTTTTTCTGGGTTTTCTCTCTCATTTTGCTGGAACACATCCTTCAGTAACTTCTAAGACAGGGTGCACTGAAAATCAACAGATATCTACCTCTTACCTCATTAGCCACCCCATCTTCAGCCTTAGTATAGGTGCTGTCCCAGGCTGCTGAGTTCAGGCTGCAGGGCATGGGGACAGGACAATACAGGCTTCCATTCCCATAGGGAAACCCTAAACCCACGAATAATGCTGAGTTTTCCAAAGCTATCATTGCAGTGCTATTCTTTACCCTGCTCATGGATTATATCCATTTCTGTGGGCTGATTCTGGTATCTAACCTCCCCATATGGTGATGTAGAATAATAGGAAGAGCTACGTAGGAAGGAAGACCTGAATTTATATATTGATCTATCCATTTTCTTGATATATTACTTACTTTTTCTAAGTTTCAACATTTTTATCTATAAAGTGAGGATGGTGCATAGCTTCTCTGGAGTGTCACGAGAATGACCTATATTTGGTACTTACTAAAGGACATTGAAAGGACCTTTGGAACACAAGCTTGCCCCCAAATATTCAAAAACTTTTACATGTGCAATAAGAATATTCTATTTATTTGTCCCTACATACGTGTACATATTTAGAAGAAATCAGTGGCAGCTTAGATCTTTATCATCACCTCCCTGTGCTTATTACTAATTCAAGTCCTCTTAGCTCCAAACAGTTTTCAGTATTAAGATTTAAGATAGAAATAGCATTTGAATAATTTGTATTCACCTACCAAATTGGGCTTGAAAAATAAAAAGGAAAGCATGACTTAAAATATAGATGTTAAAGCACAATGTTGGCTTAATGCACCTTAAAAAACGCTATTCATAAAATGTCCTGCAAAACGTACTCAAAGTGCATAGCTGGTTGATTTTGCTCAAGGAAATGACTTTAAAGCTTTTGACAAAAAATGAAAATATAACCAGCCTCTCTAGCAGGGACAAATTCAGTGTATTTAATATTTTATTCCCAATGACTAGCTTTATTAAAGGTACAATCCAGACATATAGCATTATGGTTTTTTGCCTAATGACTAACAGAAGGCAAAAACGTTAAAAACTTTTAATATGTGAGATTATTTGTCCCAGAAAGACAAAACTAGTTGGACCGAAGTTACGAGTTCATGCTGAGCTCTACAGGGTAAAATTCAATATAAGGGTAAAATTCAGGGTAAAATTCAATATGAGCCAAGAGTGGGAATTTTTTCTTGGATGAAAACACTATTGTCTGTGGTCATTCACCAAGACCAACTTGATATTATCACAAATCAGCCAGCTTGTGGCAAGACAAAGAAGAAGAACTTTGGCTACATTCTTGAACTTTGAATATTCATTCAAAGTGACCATTAGCTATACTGCCATAGAGAATGCAAGATGAGAAACCTTTCCTGATTAAGCCCAGTAAAGAAACTTTGTACTCTTGATATTTAAATAGGTTGGATTCAGTTTTTCATATGTCAAAATGTTGTACTGTAAATAACTGCAAGTTGCATGTAAATGTTCTTTTCACTAGCTACATGGGACATCTTTCTTCTATGTTGGTATCACCACTTGAATGTCTTCTAGGAACCTCAACCTCAGTGAGTTCAAATACTGTCTCAGCTGCTCATCCATACCCCTCTTAGACCTGACCCACCTCCTAAATTTTCTATGTCTATTTATAACCCCCACTTACCTATGGGATAAATTTCATTTCCTCACCCATCATATCCAATATTTCAATAGGTCCTATCAACACTGTCTACAAAATCTATCTGAGATATCTCTATCTTTGTTCCAGTGATCATCCCCTTTTTCTTTGATGACTGCAACAACTTCTTAGTTTTCTTGCTTCCACTCCTGCCAACCTCTAATATATTCACTACACAGAAGATGAGGTGTTTTTAAAAAAATATCAAAAATCAGATCATATTACTACATTGTTTAAAATCTTTCCATGGCTTCCTATCAAACTTAGAATAAATCCAAAAGTTCTTACCATGGCCCAGAAAGTTCTCCATGGTCTGGGCTCTGAGTCTCTTCTTGTGCCTCTCTTCCCCTTGCTCTGTGTACCTTCACTATGCGAGCCCCTTAAAAACTCCAACTTCATTCTAGTAGCAGAATCACTGGACAAGCTATTTCCTTTTCATGGAAAGCGCTTTCTGTCACTCTGAATGGCTGCCACATCCTCATGATTCAGCCCTCAGATTAATATTACATTCTCAAAGAGGCATTTGTTTCTTCAATAGCCATCCCCAGCACCCCATTCAGGTGTTCTGCACTGCTGTCCCTTATTTGGATTCTTCATAAAGATAAACAAGTTTTAATTATTGTATTCATATGTGTTTATCTTTTCCACCTGCCTCTTCCACTAGAATGCAAGGCTTGTGAGTGTTGGTATAGTGTCTCGTCCAATGATGCATCTCTAGTACAGTGATGCACATGAACTTAGAAATGAATGAATGAATAACTAGAGCATGTCACAAGATGACTATTATTTGAGCACTCTTCATGTTCTAGCTATTCTAGTAGGCATTTCAAATACAATACTCAATTCCTTTACAAGAGAATTCATAACAAAGCTTTTTCAAAAACCTAGATATCATTTCACTTTTCTGCTTTCCTGAACAAATCATACATACATATGTTTATAATAATTTCCTATGTTCTTCTTGAAGATGTCCAAGTCCAGATACTCTATCAGATCCCAACATGTTCTTCTTTTTGTTTAATGATTATTTCTTGTAGTCCTGTGTTTAAAACATGTTTGTTTCCATTAAGCACTTTGCAAAACAAGGTAAACAACTAATCCTCCTTATTCGTGTACTTAAAGGCAGTTATGACCATCTTTTAGCTTTGAACCACATCAATTAGTTGCTTTAGAATGTCTTCAAGGGATCAATTTTCAATCACTTTCATCATTTAGTTTTTCAGGGAGTAGCTTGACAGTAATATTAGGAATATAACTTGAATCAAAACCTGAGCTCAACTAGGTTTCTTCCAGTCAATTCTAAAGACTTTTTCTCATTCTTAATCTCACATGACCTCGTAGTTTCTGAAACTATCCACCATCCTCCATTTCTTGAAGCTCTTTTCATTCTTGCTTCTTAGGGCTCCGTGTGATTCTGAACCTCTTCCCATATTTCTAACCACTCTTACTATATCTTTTTTTCTTTCTTTTTCTTGAGCCCTAAACTTTGGCAACACTCATGACTCTACTGTTTGTTCTGCTTATTTACACATGCATTCATTCTAACAGATGAAAACTCCACATTTAATGAAAACCAGCCCAAATCTCTCTCTAAATTTGTCAGTAGTAGGTCTGTATTTTTAGATTGCTGAGTCAGATGATGGTATGTGGAGTATGTACCACCCAATGGATGACATTAATATTCTCAGAATTAGGGCCTAACACAACAGAAACGATGCAAGAAAGTAAGATAAAAATAGGGAATTCAGAAAGCATTTAAGAGTTTTGTGAGGCAGTTAGCTGTCATCATGCAAGAAATGCAGGCTTCCCTCTGCAAAGGAGTAAGTATTATTTTACGTCCTTTAAGTGTCCTGAAAGCTAAAGAGAGGCAGAATCCTATCTAGTAGTAAAGGTTGTTTGTTACAACTTTTGTAGGAATACAGCTGCACATAAGGGGAACTGGAATCTGGGAGAAACCAGACAGCTGAAGGGGAGGAAATCTGAGTCCCCAGTGGTCATATTGGGCCTAAAAAATATGCAATGTGCCTGTAATCCCAGCACTCTGGGAGGCTGAGACTGGCGGATCACGAGGTCAGGAGATAAACACCATCCTGGCTAACACGGTGAAACCCCGTCTCTACTAAAAATACAAAAAATTAGCCGGGCGTGGAGGCGGGCGCCTGTAGTCCCAGCTACTCGGGAGGCTGAGGCAGGAGAATGGCGTGAACCCAGAAGGCAGAGCTTGCAGTGAGCCAAGATCGCGACACTGCACTCCAGCCTGGGCGACAGAGCGAGACTCAGTCTAAAAAAAAAACTGCAATGTGCCCTTAAGTGGCACAAGTGGAATCACCCTTGAAACACATGAATTTCAGGGCATTTGTCCCTTCAAATATCACTGGTTAATAATCAATCTTACATAATTAACATGGGTCAATTTTGTCTCTTAATGGGTAGGTAGTTTTTACTCATGGGATAGTTTAGAAATACAGAAATGAAAACAATTAAATACATAGTATTAGTACTTTAGTGTTCAGGAAAATAAATTTTTATATTTGATTTTTTTAAGTGTTTGGAATGTATGAGAAACTTTAGTAATGTTAGAAAATTTAAGTTTAGCCATAGAGTCTAAAATGTAAAAGTGATTTTAGACTTCTGACTTTAAGTTGAAAGTCATGATAAAATGATTAAGTTTATTAAAATTATGAACATGTAATAAAGGGCATTATATATATGCATGTGTGTATGTATGTGCGTATATATATGTGTGTATATATATCTATATATACACTTTTCATTTGTATTCTATGAATTGTCTATCCACGTTCTTTGCCCACTTTCTACTGGACTTATCCCCATTTTTTAGACAAAGAGCCTGAGGCTCAGAGAAGTTAAGTAACCTACCAAGAGTTACACAGTTGGCAACAGCCAGAGCCTTATACACACACACACACACACACACACACACACACACACACACACACACACATCAGGCATATGGAGTAGATTCCACATCGTGGGTCAGAGTTCTCTGGGGAGGTCTCTAGGAGGTTAGCTTTCTTAATTTGAGAAGGGAAATAATAAAATAATAACTAATCCATTATGGGTTGGTAAAAAGACTGGCCCAGAATCAGCAGATTATTTCTTAATTAAGGTGTGAAATAATAAGTGCTTTAAATATGGCAGAAGTTTTGGAAATAGAAAGAATTGAACCCACAAAACATGTGAAGAAATCTTGATTGCTGCATTACTGGATAGGAAGAGTGATATCAATTAGGAATCCAAGTTATCCACCCTAAATGACTGGGATAAAATTAAGGTAATTTAAAGAAGTTGAAGAAAAAAACAATGGGCTCAGTTTCAGTTGAACATAGTTGACAGCTACGAGTAGACAACTAAAGTTAAGCACAATGGCATTTTTATGTGTAAGGGGAACTTTTGTCTATTAAAAACATTTTAGTTCCTTGAATTTGTTGAATTTATTGACTTAGAACTTTTAAAATATAGTTTTCCTTAACCCCTTTAATTTATAAATATTTTATTTCTTATTTTATTTCTAAATCTAGAAAACCATTTAAAATAAGAACACTTCAAGAAATTCTTTGAATGATTTTTGGTAAATTCAATTTTTTTTTTTTTACTAACATCTCAACAACAGTAACTGCCATCTACAGAAATGTAGAACTACATTAGCTGGTGACTTTTCATAAAGTCACCTACATAGAAAATATTGGAAGCCAGTCCCTATGACACCGCAGATAAATCAAATAGACTTTGCTTGTACATAATAAATTCCTCAAAACAGCAAAGGATGTCTGTTTGTAACTTTTACAATAAACATTATTTTTAAAATAACCTTCAATATAAACAATAAGAGAGAACACGGCAGAATGAAATGCAGAACATAAGTCAGATATAAACAAGCAAAAGGATAAAGAAAACTCATTTGTGTTCACATCAACCTTATTGTCTTGTAAGGTTTTTGCCTGTCCAATTTTCATTTGGTGGCAGGTTTGCCATGTTTCCGCCCTCCCGGCTCCCGTGTTTTATCTTCACATTCCATTCTTCCTTTTTCGTTACTCAGTTTAAAATAAACAATTATTTCACTTCTTTCATGTGCTCTATATCAACATTTATTCTTTCTGACTGTAAACTTTTAGAGGGTGTGAATCACTGTATGTTGCCAAATAAACATGATTTTTATGGGTAAAAATGCATCTACTAAGGTTAACAAGGCCTAGATTATTGTGAGGCGAGACCAGGTATTGTATAAATCCAGGCAGGAAGAAATGGAATTTCTCCAAGGAGGAATTAGGTGAATCTGACATTGAGAGGACTCCTTCCCAGGTTATATTTTGGGTTAAACACCAGCAAAAGTAAGCAAAAATGAGTAGCATTTGAATAAGCAGGTGGAAAGTTAGGAAAGAATGGTTCTTTGAACTCTGGGAATGTTTAATTCAATGTATTAAAGCAGTTAAAACAAGTATTAGCTCCCCTCCCTGGCTTTCAGCTGATGTCCTCACCCTGTAACCAATAAAAAGTGTTTGAGTAGTTACTTCAGCAAGTGTGGTAATAAACAACTTGTGCTCATGGCTTGCTGAGTACATATACAGACAGTTCTGTAACTGCAGGGTGGCCAGACAGAAGCCCAGGACCACATCAAGATCTTAATTTTTTCAGATTTGGTTAAATATCAACCCCAACTGAACTACCAAAGCTTTACTGTGATAGTTAAGCCAGTTCATAATCTATTCCCAGCTTTGTTGACCAAATCACCACTCTATACATTTCCCTATCATTTAACCTTACCAATTACTAAATTTTCCCAGAATCTTTTATGCTACTTCCTTTCACTTGGTTCTAGTACCTTGCAAGGGTTGGGGTTATTGGAGGGGAGTTCTCTTTTGTCTAATAAACTCCTAACTGTCTCTCAAGACACAGCTTGTTGCTAGTGTGGGGATTGGCACATCCCATGCAGGCAGTGGGCCATCCGCTTTCTGCACTAATTAATTATCAGTCTGTGTCTGTCACACATCCTTTTCTACTCAACCCTGATATTAACTGTAAATTCCCTGAGGGAAGAGAATATTCTATACTTTTAATCTCCATGGCATTTGAAATTAAAAATTCTAGACTTAAAAGAATAAACAAATGAAATGAATAAATTACTGTAATCTTTGTCTTTTCTGAAGTCTCAAATAATTCACATCTAAGTCTCCCTCATGGAACCTTTTGGTTTTTATCTTTTGTATTATAGATATTTTGGATACATTAAAATTTCCAACTAAACTCTCCACATCTTAAGGGAAGGTCTGAGCTTGGTTCTCTTACAGCCCCAGCTGGTTGCACAAGTCTTACAGGTGCAGTGCTCAATATATATTTAAAAATGAACAGGGTAAATCCATCAATAGGCATTATCTGAGTAGAAGATCATGTTGCATTTGAAGAAAAAAAAGAATATTTTTGAAGAAAATTGGTCCTGTTACTTACAGATATATTTATAATTTGAAATAAGTTAACCAACAATAGACTGATGATATGTTTATAGAGAACATACTTGGTCACTTGTTAATGAAGAAAATTAATCACTGTTTTTATGTAATCAGTGCTTCAAAAGTACTTGAGGGTACTTGAAAGCAGTTGATTTTCTTAGGTAGATTATTTATGCTATGAATTTGCATAGTGCATTCTGCATAGAGTGTAAAGCTACATTTTATCACATCCCCTTAACACTACAAATTCTATGTTAGCAAAATCCAAATTAATGAGGCTTCTTTGTTTCCCGATGCTTTGTTAATATTAAGAAAATGCCAACATGTCCCCATGGCCTGCATGTAGCTGATTCACTGCTGTGTGAAGCTTACCCCAAGCCACATTGCCTTCTTCACACTGAGAGGGGAAAACAGAACTTTCATAGAGCAGCAACCCCTTCCCGTGGCCACCGCATCTTCTACTTTCAGCTCTCTCTTCTCACGTCTCCACACTGTGAGCTCTATTGGTTATTATTTCCTCTCAAACTTCCCTTTCATTCATTTTTCATTTTCTTCCTCCCAACCCTACCTTTTGTTCTTATCTATGACTCAAAATTCTGCCTTGTTTATGATCCGCTTATACTCAGAAACTTGACTCTTCCCTCAACCATCGCAACAGAGCTGTCAGACTTCCTCTTGGCTCTGTAGCACTTCAACCGGTGATGGAGAACAAATGATCCACTAGAGTATCTGAAAATGTAGCAAGGAGTTCATTCACAGTGATAAGGTGGATCTGCTTTGTAAATAAAGATGCATGTATAGTTGTTATCTTTATACTTTGCCATCTACTTAATAAACATTGAACCCCTGCTAATTTTTTTTGCATTCAGTTGAGATATAGAATTGAGTAAGTCAAGGTCATCCCATCTGGCAGGGAGCTATGGTTTAATGAGAAAGATTCTGCTCCCAGGCAATTACCACATGAGTAGCAAGTCCTTCAGCATGGTATGTGCCCACAGGAGCCAGAGGAGAAAGGAACTACAGCTGTGGAAGAATTCTTTGCAAAAATTGGCTTTTGAACTACACTCCAAAGGTTGAGTGGGAATTTGTCAGACAGATTGAGAGCAGTGTGCTCCAGGAAGAGGACAGGAGGCTTGGAGGTATGAGAAGCATAACATGTTGACAAAGGCACACATTAGACTTTTATCTAGAGGGTGGAGTGTTTAAAGGTGGCAGGAAATAAGCCCCCCCAAAAAATGATGTATGATCATAGAAGCCATTTTAAAAGCTCTGAATGATATGTTGTATACAATTGAATGTCTTTAAAATGAAAAGTTACAGTCTAACTTTCAGAAATGTAATAAGTATGTAAATTAAGTCTGCGTATTGCTAGGGATTCAAAAATGGTCTGGGGCATAAATGGAAAACATGTGGAGTACTCCGTTAGGAATGAGTGTGTACATGTGAATTATGGAGGTTGTTGGTAGGAAGTACCTGAGGACAGATCTCATCCCAGGAACTTCCTGAACTAAGCTCAGTAAGCTTGACACAATGGCCACTTCTTAGCTGGAGGGGAATCTGAGTACAGCATCAGCATTATATCTTATACTGGAACTCACCTCCATTTCAGGCAACTAGAAAAAGGTCAAGGTTGTAACAGGAGAATGAGTAGTATGAAGCAGCTGATTGGGCTATTTCAACACATTCTGTAACACACAGGGGCTTTGGTGTCTAAGAGAGCCAGGCTCAAAGGGGAGAGAGAGGGAGTTTCCCCTTCACTGTTGCAAACCTAGATTAGAGGGTGGTGCTCTCCTGGGGGCTCAGGGTTGTGGCCTGCAGAGAAAGACTGTGCCCAGTGGAGCAGCAGGAGGAATAATGTCACCCTAAGAGCATGACACAGCAGCATCAGGGCCACCAGGCCCAGCAAAGAAGCAGTAGTAAGTAGGGGCTGAGGAAGAAGAACAGATTGAAGAGAATTTCTGGGAATTCCAAGTTCTTGAGGGAGCTGGGTGTATTAGTCAGGGATCTCCAAAGGGACGGAACTAAAAGGATATATGTATATATAAAGGAGAGTTTATTAAGGAGTATTGACTCACACAGTCACAAGGTAAAGTCCCACAATAGGCCATCTGCAAGCTGAGGAGTGGAGAAGCCAGTCTGAGTCCCCAAACCTCAAAACTAAGGAAGCCAACAGTGCACCTTTCAGTCTGTGACCGAAGGCCCGAAAGCCCCTGACCAACCACTGGTGTAAGTCCAACAGTCCAAAAGCTGAAGAATTTGGAGTCTGATGTTTGAGGGCAGGAAGCAACCAGCATGGGAGAAAGATGAAGGCTGTAAGACTCAGCAAGTCAAATCCTTCCACCTTCTCCTGCCTACTTTATTCTAGCCGCACTGGCAGCTGATTAGATGATGCCCACACAGATTGAGGGTGGGTCTGCCTCTCCCAGTCCACTGACTCAAATGTTAATCTTCTTTGGCAACACCCTCACAGACACACCCAGGAACAATGCTTTGCATCCTTCAATCCAATCAAGTTGACACTCAATATTAACCATCACGCTGGACTTGGCAAGGGGCTGGGAGCTGTGCATCATCAGCTGATGAGTGTAATGTACCAAGGCCATTCAAGGATAAATACCATTTGTATCCATGAAGAACAGAGTTATCAGGGAAATTCAGGCTATAGAAAGAACATGTATCTAGGAATATAAAGAAGGAGACACACAAAGATTGGTTACAAGGCTGTTGGAACATTCAATGTAAGGAATAAGGAGGGCAATAAGTAAGGAGGACAGTCATGAACAGAGAACAGGGATGTGGGAACATAATTAAGGATTGTAGAAAGCAGAAATACACACTATACACACTTTTTTGGCCAGCTAAAGGGGCCTTTCGTAATTGTCTTTTGGCATTTGCTATCCTAGGGCCAGCAGTGTGAAGAGCAATGATCAGAAGGATCTGAAAGTGACCCCTGGTTCTCATTCAGGGTTGCCTAAACAATAATCTAGCTGGGATGAGTTGTGGGAGTGAGGAAGGTGTTCCCTAAGGAAGGACTGCCCCAAAGTTCAGCTTCCCACAGGAAAGGTGGCTTCTTCCCTGCCGAAGGGTGAGGCAGTTTCCCATGGGCCTCAAGGTGACCAGGCACTGGGCAGCTGGTTTCCCGGATCATACCTATAAACAACCGTCACTCAAACAGACTGCTTGGTACTAAGATCTTTATCCCCTCCACTGACAATGTTGCACTCACATGTGTACTGTAACAAGGGAGAATGAGAGTGGAGAGATGGAAATATGAGCTTTCCTGCACATTTAGCAAAGCATCCTAGGAAGGTAGGAAGATGAGTGGGGATGGGGGTGGGCAGTAGGGCAATGGCTATGCCTTCTCTTCTCTTGCTACTTCGTGGCTTTATCAGTTTCTTCTGTCCTCAGTTAAATCTATTCCTTAACCCATGGTATGTGTGCTGCTGTAGATCTGCCTCAGATCCATTAAGGAACCCACCTAGCATGACCTAGGGTAGAGTCCTAAGAATGATTCAGCAGCAGCTAGCACACCTGGAGTTATAAATTGTAGTCATAATGCTCCACACAATTAGGACTCTGGTTATACCACAGACTCACCAAAAAAACAAAAGCCACCCACGCATAAATTGACTTTTACATGACAGTGATGTAGAATAAAAGGTTCTAAGAGTTACCACAGAAATCAGTATAAGCCTTAATAAAGTACATAACATTTACTAATGTGCCCAAAGCCCTCAGGATCGACCTCTATATAAAAGACCACTTGCCTCTTCAATTAGTAATAACCACAGGTTTTCTGGTGAAAGTAGAGTGAGCATAAATATGTCAAGCACATACTAATAGACTAGCTGATTTAGATAGCAGTATTTCTAGAAGAGGATTAAAACAGTACTAACTGCTTGTCATGTCCTCATTGTATATTGACATATATCTGTTTGATTTACTAAATTGGACTACCTGAACACTCTATTTAAAAGTGAATATCAAAAATACCTTTGCCCAAGTTATGTCTCATCTTTGGTCCCAAAGAGGACATAACACAGAAGGAGAAAGCACAGACTGAAACACTTAGAATGGCAACGATGACTCACTCACTGCCAATATCAGAAAATTACTCCTTTCATTCTACAAATGTAGCTTGATATGGATTTAAATAATTTATCTAATTCTAACCTTCTGCGTCCTACTCAATTTTTTTCTGGCCAGTTATTTCTCAGCTCTTATGATATAGTTAAAATTAACTCAGCGTTTTTTATCTTTTCAGAAAAGACATGTGACTTTTGTCTGTGCTTTGAAGTGATGTAATTATGACATCTGTGTTAACAGATCAAAAAGCACTGCACCAAAAGTGTTTATCCAAATCCCATTGTCTAGTGAAGGACATTCTAGAAAGGCAGCTTGGTTCAGGGAATCTGTGGGTGGCACTCTGCTCCCGCATAGGTTGATCTGAGGAAGACCAATTCCTAAATATTGATTTTGAGTGAGGCAGATGAGAAAATTAAAACCAGTGATGCTCTAATACACACTAAGACTTTGTTTCAATTGACTGTTCACAATTTGTCTTGCAGGGTAAGTCCTGGGATCATTTCTCTACTTCTCACTGTATCAAAACTAAGAATCATTTTCATTTGGGATCAGGGAAAATGTGACATTTTATTGATGTAAAACATTGTTTTTGTTTCCTGTTTTCATCACACTTCACCTCTCATTTACGTCTGTGTGTGAGAGACAGTGATTTGTTCACAGCACCTTTAATCTGTCTGCTTTTTGAACAATATTTGATAGGAGGAGCCAGGTGGAGATAGAAAAGTACCTCATTTTGGCGTGTTTTCCTTTAGCCTTTAAACAGTATCTTCTCTATTCCAAGTCAGAATACACTATTAGCAGCAACAGAACAGAATGTGGTGTATCCCTGAAAAATGGCTGCTATAGCTATATTCCCTTATAGTAAATGGAAAAGCAAAAACAGGACCAAGGATTTGGAATATACAATAGATGGAAAAAAATCTAAAATTTCTTTTAAAATGGAACTTCCTTCATAAAAATCCTTTACTGGAATGCTTCAGTGTGTCCAGAAGTCTATGAAGGCAACCAGATGTATGGAGAAAGCTGAACTGAAATTCGGGTCCATAAAGGAAATTCTAACCATGGTGTGGCAAGGTTTGGTCTTTCACGGGCTTTCAGAGGAATTGTGCAGAAGCAGTTTTCTAGAGGCACTCACCTTTGAACATGGACCCACAGGCAGAACTGGCCATGGCACTCCCTATCTGGAAGCCTCTGATGGCTCATGTTGGTATAGAACAAAAGCCACACTCTTTTGCCTTCCCAATCCAGCAGAAGCTCCATCACTTACTACTCACACCTGAGCACCCAATATCCAGCCACTTCATCCTTCTTACTGCCCTCAGATCGCACCTCCCACTTTCAGCCTTCTGCCCCATTGTCCATGTTTCCTCAACCTGGAATGTTCCCTATCCCCGTGGCCTCTGTGAAAATGTACCCGCTACTTGAGGTCTAACCTCACATGTACCTAGGCAGAATTAATCCATCCCTCTAAAATATTCTCACCCTCTTCCTCAGTCTGTATCAAACTCCCACTCCTTCACACAAATATCACACACACGTGCCTGCAATCCCCAAATTTCAAAATCTTCCAAATTCTGAAAGCTGAAAGTGTTAATATTTTTCATAATTCATTTGGCAGAAAACCCCAAACTGAAGTTACTTTGTAATTTTGATTTATGTCACCAATATGAGAATTCATGCATTTAACTGCAAAAACCAAAAACCTGAAGTGTTTGACCACAGGCCCAGACCCCACTGGAAGTATTAGACAACATTTGATGTATATAGTACTGCCCTAAGACCCACGTGGACAC
This sequence comes from Homo sapiens, assembly GCF_000001405.40. Lineage (NCBI taxonomy): Eukaryota > Metazoa > Chordata > Mammalia > Primates > Hominidae > Homo > Homo sapiens. The sequence goes on along the minus strand of NC_000005.10, from coordinate 114,325,878 downwards.
GAGGAACCAGAAGTACTCCTGGAAATTTACTCTATTCCCCCTCCCTTGAGTTCACAGAACCAGATGAGATGCAGTTCCAGTGGGGAATTCCAGTGCACCCCAGACCAGGGCACAGATCCAGACTCACATGAACTCTGCTTCCTGTTTCTCTCCTTTGAAGCACTGTGGAGTCACCAGATGGTGACTATGTTGGTGTATGTCATAGGAGTTTACTCCATTAGATAAGAAGCTTGTCCACAGGTCTTTCCAAGATAATTCCATCTCTGTTTTTGGCTTTTGCTGAGATGGCTGACGATTAAGGCTTTTAAGTTTCCTAAACACTCCTGGTTTAATTGAGGGTATCTGTAAGTCACACTCTTAATCTCTTTCAAGTGCCTTTTGTGTGATTGAATACTCTTAGTCTGAATAGTTTCTCAACTATTAGCAAAAGGCTATGCAGCCACACTCTCAGCTTTTTCTCTAATGGATGCTTTTCTGACAGTAAATAATTTAATTTTAGCATCTTTTGCAATCTGGATAGGTTGAGAATTTTCCAAATCATCACATCCTGGTTCTTTTTTATTCCCTCAATTTATATCTCTTTTCTTGCATTTTACTATAAGCAGCAAGAATAACCCAGGCTATATATTCAACACAGAATTTCCCAAATCATCACGTCCTGATTCCTCTTCCTTTCTTCATTTATCTGTTTCTTCTTGCATTTTACCATAAGTAACAAAAAAAGCTGTACCTTCAACACTTTATTTGGAAATCTCCTCGTCATTTAAAAAATCTGCCTTCCACATAACTGTAGGACACAATCCTGCTTAGTTTTCTGACACTATATATGAACAATCCTCTTTCCTTCAGCTTGCAATAACAAGTTCCTTATTTCTTTTTGAGCTATCACCAACAGTGCTTTTAACATCCATATTTTTACTAACAGTCTGTTCATGATGACTTATGTATTCTCTAAGGCCATTTATGTTTTCTTTACCCTGTACTTCACTTACTTCTGAGTCCTCACTAGCAGAGCCATTAACATCCATATTTCTGCTAACAGCCTGTGAAAGGCAATCTAGGCTTTTTCTGTAACACTCATGAAAATTCTTCCAGCTTCTGCCTACTGCCCAATTCTAGAGCCACTTTCACATTTCAAGGATTTGTTATAGCAGCATCCTACTTCCAGGTACCAAAATCTGGATTCCTGTCTATTGCTGCTGTAACAAATTATCACAAACTTAGTGGCTTAAAACAACGTTACTTTCTTATAGTAAAAGTCTGTAGATTAGAAGTCCAAAATGGGTTTCACTGGGCTAAAATCAAGATGTCAGCAGGGCTGACAGGGAGAATCTGTTTCCTTGCTGTTTTCCACCCTTCTAGAGGCCATCTATTTTCCTTGGCTCTGATTCCCTTCTTTCATCTTCAAAGCCTGCAAGATGACATCATTTTTTCCCTTCTTCCATAGTCACATCTGCTTTTGACTCTGACCATGGCCAATAAGGTTCTCTATTTTTAAGGATGTGTGTAATTAAATTAGGCCTACCCATGTAATTTAGGATAAGCCCCATATCTCAAGGTTCTTAATTTTAATCATATCTGCAAAGACCTTTATTTCATATAAAGTAACATACTCACATGTTCTCGTGATTAGGACAAGGGGGAGCCCATTATTCTGCTTACCACAATACTATTTAATTTATATTTCATAGGTGTTGGTACAACGTATGAAGAATACATCCTAATAAAAGTTATTCTTTAATGAAGATGACAAAAAAATGGTCAAATTAACAATTATTTTGATGTATTGCTTTTTAGCTCATACTCTGTGAATACCTGTTAGTCTGTTAGATTCTAGGAAGATTTGGTTTATAATTATAGTAATAACATTTAATATTTTATAGGACCTTATAGAACACAATGTGCTTTCAGATATCACTGTTTCACATATTAAAATATTTGACAGGCTGGGTGCAGTGGCTCCCAGCACTTTGGGAGGCCAAGGCGGGCATATCATGAGGTCAAGAGATTAAGACCATCCTGGCCAACATGGTGAAACCCCATCTCTACTAAAACTACAAAAATTAGCTGGGCATGGTGGCACATGCCTGTAGTCCCAGCTACTCGGGAGGCTGAAGAATCTCTTGAACCGGGCAGACGGAGGTTGCAGTGAGCTGAGATCAGGCCGTGCATTCCAGGCTGGCAACAGAGAGAGATTCCATCCCGACCAGCAAAAAAAAAAAAAAAAAATTGATATGTTTATATCATGATACTTATTCTCTATACTAAACATGGTTTCTGTCATGTTTTCCAAAGAGAAAAGAACAAATCATACCATATCTTACAGATGTGAATTTTTATTAAATTAATGCAATTTATACTGTACATGAAAAAATAAACATTTTTCTCATTACTTTTTTAGTTTTATTATCTTTAAAGATTTAAGAGCTTAAGTGGCTGAACTTGAAATGTCAACTCATGATAAGTGCAGTATTTGGTGCTTATGATGGTACCAAAATGAAATGAGTACACTCTTATTATTTCTAATTTATAGATGAGAAAACACTGGCACAGAGACATCAAGCAACTTTATTGAAGTTTCACAGCTGGGTAGTAACTAACACAGGTTTAAACTCCGGAAATGTGACTCCAGAGACGATGCTCTTAACCACTGTGCTTTGCAGTTTCCTACTGAGGAGCTTTACTGTTTATGGTAGCTTTGAAATTAGGTACCTGTAATGTAAACCGGGGTTCCTCTTTTTCCAGGAGGAGCATGGATTCACTTAAAAGAAGCATAGGCATTTTATTTTTAGCAAACTAATGCAGAAACAGAAAACCAAATACTGCATGCTCTCACTTATTAGCAGGAGCTAAATGATAAGCACTTATGAACACAAAGAAGGAAACAAAAGACACTGGAGTCTACTTGACGGGGAGAGTGGGAAGAGGACAGGAGCAGAAAAGATAACTATTGGGTATTGGGCTTAATACCTGGGTGATGAAATAATCTGTACAATACCTTCTGTGACATGAGTTTACCTATGTAACACACCTTTACATGTACCCTCAAACCTATAATAAAAGTTAAAAAAGAAGCATTTTATGTTTTAAAATATATTACCATCAAAATGTAAAGTTATACTTAGCATCTCAAATAAATAACAAGGGAGAGACTGTACAAGATCACAAAGGTTCATTGAGATCAGTTTCTGTCGCTTTCAAACCTTTCACATGCTTAGCTGCAGCATCAATTAAAATACTCTGTTACTCAGCTGTCCTGGAATCAAGTGTGTATGTGTGTGTGTGTGTGTGTGTGTGTGTGTATGGGGGAGTGTATGCATATGTGCACATGTATGCATGCAGTGTGTCCTGAAGTTCAATGAAAAGAGTACTTGGAATGAACATATTTTATTTATAATCTTTGAACTGTAATTAGTGTTTTCACATAAAATAAACAGATATGACTATATGAGATTTGGGTCTCCATCAGGTTCTGAAAATTTACCTTCTAAGTAGACTTCAGAGAATACATTAAGAAAAATCCTAGTTTTTAGTCAAAGATCATTACAAACAATTACAAGCCTTTCTTTCTCTACTTACTAGACATTATTTGTCTTCCAATAAATGAAATGGTTGGTCTAGAAGAATTTTAATGTCTCTTTAAGCCCCAACATTCTGTCATTTTCTGGTTGAGGAACTTACTACAGTAGATTCTACAAATAAACTAATTTTGAAATACACCCAAGAAATGGAAAATTTAAACTGGTGTCTTCATGTTATTTGCAGCTTAATTGTGAGTTTTATTGTAACAGAATATTGGAGAGAACTTCCAGTTGTCTTAGAATGTTATTGAAAACTTCTAAGCTGAGGAAACTGGGTAATAAATTCTACCACATTCTGAAGACAGAAGCTAAATACATCTTCACAGCTTCTGTGAAATATCCAGTGACGGCCAGGTGTGGTGACTCATACTTATAATCCCAGCACTTTGGGAGGCCGAGGCAGGCAGATCACCTGAGGTCACCAACATGGTGAAACCCCGTCTCTACTAAAAATATAAAAATTAGCCGGGCATGGTGGCACGTGCCTGTAATCCCAGCTACTCAGGAGGCTGAGGCAGGAGAATCACTTGAGCCCAGGAGGCAGAGGATGCAGTGAGCTGAGATCATGCCATTGCACTCCAGCCTGGGGGACAGAACAAAGACCCCCTCTCAAAACAAACAAACAAACAACAACAAAAAAAAAAAACAAATCCAGTGAACATTATACCTGAGAACTGATGTAAGAGATGGCAAGAGGTCCATTACAAAGAGGAAACAATGAAGGATTTTTCATGGTTGAGAACATTGGAATTTACCCTTCCTTCCCTGTGCTTTCATTTCCTGCCACCAAGTCAAGTGAGGGGGCTCCAAGAGAGCTACTTATAGACAAAAGAGTTGTATTCCAGATGAGGAGATCTGTATATCCTTCAACCCCCAACCTGCACCACAGTTCCTGAGCTTTTAGAAACATGTAGACCTGCCCCATGCTGCTACCAGAAGATGAAGGGCACTAAAGAGTTCTTAGCAGAGCTTGGGAGTCTTGGAGTTTGGGGGCACACATGAACACAAGACTCCTTATATAGAGAAGATTAAGGTGAAAAATTGAGTAGAACAAACCCTCAATATAAGGTAAGGAGAGAGAAGAACAATGGGGGTAAATTGTACTTCTATGGTTTGGAAAAGCAAGACTTCCCCAGCAATCAACTCAATGCTAAGAAGGTACCTGGGTTCAAAGGCATCCTAAAAGGACCTCTCTATGCAAAGACGTGGGAAACAATTGTAGAATTGAGTGAAATGGCTAATGTGTAAGCTACTTTTCTTTCTACCCACAGGGACAGCAGGAGCATGGGAGGATTCTAAGGGCTCAGCTGGAGCCTTTCGCATTCCATCAGAGATCTGTGCAATGTGGGGACATCAGAGATCTGTGGATGGGGTATTTCCTCTTGAACCTCATGAAAAAGCTAACATTTCAATGATTTCCATGACAGGATACTTGACAGTTAAAAGAACTGAAAAAGATAGCATCAACTAAAAACAAACAAACAAACAACACTATTCTTTTACCTGTCACTATCTCTATCCTTATGCTTTCTCTGGAATGAATGGAGAAGAAGATACATGAAGGATGGAGAGGAACAAACCATGCACCCTACCCCTCCAAACCTGCTTGTGGGATCACTAGTTGGGCCAGATCTGGTGGAGAGGGAGGGGCTTGGGATTGGATGAACATTTTTTTTTTTTTTTTGAGACAGAGTCTCGCTGTGTCACCCAGGCTGGAGTGCAGTGGCGCGATCTCGGCTCACTGCCAGCTCCACCTCCCGGGTTCACGCCATTCTCCTGCCTCAGCCTCCCGAGTAGCTAGGACTACAGGTACCCACCATCAGGCCTGGCTAATTTTTTGTATTTTTTAGTAGAGACGGTGTTTCACCATGTTAGCCAGGATGGTCTTGATCTCCTGACCTCATGATCCGCCCGCCTCAGCCTCCCAAAGTGCTGGGATTACAGGCGTGAGGCACAGCACCCGGCCTGGATGAATGTTTTCTTTAAATTGGACTAAAATTTTTTTTTAACCCTCACTAATCTAATACCCTGTAGAACCAAAAAAAGGTCTGGGACATGGCTGTGATAACATCCAGACCCAAGGAAGGACAGGGTATGTTGATTTTACTCTATGAAATTCACCCATTTAATACATCAGTTATATGACTGTACTCGAATCTTTTCCTGTTTTATGATTACTCATTCATGTTTGGGGATATGAAGAAGGGGATCTGTTTCTATTTATGTGTTAAAATTTCCATTTTAAAAAAAGATGGTGGAGTAACAATGGGTAAACATTTTGTCCACAATTCCCATGAGCTTCAAGGAAGTGAAACAGACAACTGAAAATAGAAGTCTTTCTCAGAGCTCTGTATCAAAGGAAACACTGGATTCCTTCCTTTGACTAACAACCAGGAAGAAAATGGAGAGTTTCTGTAAGCAGATTATATGAGTCACAATTAGCACATAAAAATATTATAGAATGAGACAGCATGTGATGGGACAAAGCATCTTTGATTTGAACTTACCTTAATAAAAGAGAAAAATTTGACATTTTGGCATAATAATGAAACATTATCAAGCATTATATCTTACAGTGTTTGATTTAGAAGCGAGGAGCAATTGTGTTATATTACATTCAGATTAACCTGGATGTGCAACTTAAGTCAGACTTTTGCCTGAATATATAAAGATTTATTTATAATAACCATGGCAAAGGAGTAGAGATTTACATATAAAACAATGATTTTCTAGTAGCAACTCACCTCAGCTTTAAATATATTTATGGGCATAAAACCATCCTCCTTTATCACTCTGAGCTTCAGGCTGTATTCTAAATTGCTATATATGACAGAGTTCATTTCTATGATGAATTTCCACTGTGCTGAGGCAAACAGCCAACTGATGACAGAAAGGCAGTACCAAAGGCTGGGTATGAACTGCACGGAGATATACCTGTGTAGCTTCTGCTTTCTCTGTCTTCATAGGGCTCTTCAGGGAAACAGCTCATCCCCTTAAGAAGCCTCCCTGCAGGGAGATTCAGGGTAGACACAGCAATGGAGAGGGCTGGAAGAACCTCAGTGTGCAGATAAGACCAGTGGTGGGAAACTGACTGTAAGAAGGGGCCAGTGGACTTAGCTGCTTTCCCGCTCAGAATATGAAGGCCATCCTTAATCTATTTTGTCTCCCCTATTCTTGGTAATCACTCAGTCTCTGGGTGGGAATGAGTATATTCCTGAATATACCCCTTAGCCTCAGGATTTATACAGAGGTCTGTGTACGTTGGGGGCACAGAAGAAAGAAGAATGAATGATAAAATCGCAGAGTGGCATGGCTGATGTCTCACTCAGTATCTTTGAGCCTCAGTTTACCCACAGTTCAATCACCACTCTCCAATGTCTTTTTCAGCTGTAATACTGAAATAGTTCAGTGAGAATAATTAAAAGGAACACAATCAAAATATGAACATAATACATGCTTATATAGGAAACAAGATTTCCCAGAAGCATAATCCAAGGATTATGGAAGAACATTTATGAAGGAAGAGAATCTAAACTGTAACTATGATTTATACCCACAGTGTATAAATTTAGTCAGTGAACCCTGAGTAAATCTAGATTACAGAAAGAATGTAATTACAGTGCCTGCCAGCCTGTGAACAATAATATGGTATAATAAATTATACATAATAATTATATATGAATTATCATATACAATTATGTATTCTTATATAATACAAAATTACATTATGATATTATCATTGTTATGATAAGTGTATGATTATATATAGTGGTATAATATAGTACAATATAGCTACAGTTCATACATTATCAGAAGTTTCAACTTTTTCAGATCTGGGGTTATAAATACATACCTTAAACAAGATATATACTCTATTAATACGTATGTAAGTGGCCATCCTTCAGATTTTACTAGGAAAAAAATATTTTTGATGAGAACATCAAACAAACAACAATGAGTGGTAATAAGGATTTGACAATGGTAATAAGGATTTGATAATATTCCAAAATAAAGTATGGGTAAAATCTGAAGGTAGGGCACTTAGAGAACCTGTCTTTAAACTGTATTGCCTTTTCCTTAAAACACAGCATTATCCTGCCTAAGCAAAAAGGAAACTAAACTAATAAGCATCTCCAGAAAGTAGAAATATAATGAGTCCAACTGAAGAGCAGACAGGAGATGAGTAGGACAGTGTCAGGTAAAGAGCAGACAATCAGTATAGTGCAGAGATGGAACAAAAAAACACAGGGAATGTGAATGGACTTATCCTTCTAGTACACCATAATAAACATCCACGTGTACTGTTGATCTGTTGCTTTCGTTTGCTCATTATCCCTGCCCCCTCCCAGTCCCTTATCTCTTATCTCTTCAGTGCTTTACAACTCATTTCATAGTCATACTTGTGCTGCCGTGAAGATGGGCAGGCACGTTGCCTGCGGCAGGCAGTCGCTAAGAAACATGCCCATTTTGCTAAATATGTGAGTATTGTAGAATTTAGCATAATGGCTAATGTGTAAGCTACTTTTATTTCTACTGGTATTTCATCTCTTTGCTCTGAATTGTCACCTGAGTTCTCCTGTGACATAGGATCTACTTCCAAAATTCCTCCTCACTCTAAGACTTTCTGTAGCACATAACTCATGGAGGTGCAGGACTCTTCAGAATGGTCAACACCACCATGAGAAAGCTACAGCCAAAAACAGAGGAGGGAATGGGATCAGAAAGTCCCCCAAAAAATGTAAGTCAGAAAGAGGTTAATTTCCAGATAAAACAGATTTGAGATCAACAAGTATAGTCTAAGAAAGAATGGATGATTTTTGCTATCATTGCACACTTTAAACAATGAATAATATAATTGGCATGAGCGATTTCAGATATTTTGATTAAGAAGCTGGGATCTCTGAAGTCAAAGTTACCTTGTGAGGGGTTGCCTAAACTAAAAGTGAATTAGAAAAGGCAAGCCAACAAGACACTGCAGGTCCGACGATATAAGCTTTGTAAAAAAGTGTATTTCCTTAAGATAGGCTTGAGACATTACAAAGCTGGCTTCCTGAAAAAAAAAAAAATTGGATCAATAAGCTTCCAAATCTCTATAGTCCAGACAAGGCTCTATTTTCTTTTTATTTTTCCAAGATCTCAAGGGGCCATGGCTCAAAAGCAGAAAGTTATAGTAATAGCATAGGGCCAGTAGAAGTTCACTAGGAAGAGAGATGAAGGAATTGAAGGAAGTGAAAAAAAAATCTGGGAAAAAGCTGCAAGGATGTCACTCTGCTGAAAAGCCCCTTCTGGAAAGCACTTGCTGATCTCAAAGGGCCTTAGCATGAGCTCAAGGTTTGGAATTTATTCCATAATCATTTACCAAATGACTGCAGTTTTCAAAGAACACCCTGGACTGTTCCTTTCCTTGCCTTTTTCTTGTGCATGTGGACTCAGGTATGACTGACTATACTTATATTCACAGATGAGTACAGATGGCCAGACCTGAGTCCATACACACACATATATGCCTTAATATTATAACTGCATTAGAGCGTGTTTTAAATCATGGCTGGACTAGATAGCGATATGTATTAATGATTTAGAGATATGGTTTTGTAATATGACTGATTGGGTTACATTTTTCATATGCATTTATTTTGGGGACCATGTTAACAGCTTTTCATACACCATTATTCCTGAGAACTCTGGGTTTCTGAATCCAGAATAACACAGGATCAAAGTGAAACTATTATTCAGCAATTCCTACTGCTGGAAAAGTACCCAACAATTGTGTATCTGCGGGTCTGCTTCTCCCCAGCTGGGCAATGTTGAGTACAATACCTAACTTCTTTGAGCCTACACGTTGGTATCTGTAAATCAAGGGCGTTAAGCTAGTCTAGCGGTTTCAAAATCTTGTTTTCTGAAGTCTTAAGTTTCCTCAGATGTATCTTAGCTACAAGCTCAGGGGCCAGGAGGGGGCTCCAGTGACCTTTGATTCTAAGAGAATAGTTTTGCTTCTATTTGTCTTATATTTTGGGACTCTGTACAGGATGTCATGGGAAAAATTATTACTAAAAATAAATTTATAACAATCCACACCTATTAATTTTATAAGGTACCATGCTGCATCTCCTATAAGTCAGAAGAGCTCCTGGCAATTTAATTTAGGGGCTCCTGATAGATGGAAGATATGCTAAAACAGGTTACAACACACACACTATATGCGTGTGTGATGAATATCTTTCAGTGCTGTGTTTCTTATTGCTGCATGAGTAAACTTATTTCAAGATAGTCTCTCAATTTGAGGTTCCTTGGTAAATACAAGGCCCAGACCAAATGGTTTTTTTTGCCTCCTTCCAACTCCCATCCTCAGGACAATATCTGATTCCTAACAGCTTCCCTACTCTATATCTCAGCATATCTTAGGTAACTCTGCTTCTAGGATTTGAATGTTCCAATAAGGTCACTCCACAGAAAGGCTTCTCTATCAAGGACCCAGAGAACTCCAAAGTGCTTTTTATCTGTTTCTATTACATATTTCTTGATATAACCTTTAAAAAGTATGTTAACAGGGTTACTCTATTTCAATAAACACATCATTTCAATAAGCAAAATATTTGACTAACCCAAATCCAACAAATCCAACAAAATAAAGAAATCTGGATAGTTCTCTGAATTTTCTGTAATGGGAGATGACAACTATGCCTATATGTAATCAATGTTAGTGATTTTGTGAAATGTGAAAATATAGTAAATTTATTTTAAAACCACTAAAATAAGTAATAAAATATGAACATGAATCACAAATAATAAGAATAGTCCACTTTTAAAACAGAAGTTTTATATATATATACACACACACACACACACACACACACACACACACACACACACACAGTTTCTGCCTTCCATGGGTGGTACACTCTAAACCTGCTTATTTTAGTGTGTTCCATGCTAGGCATTACACTTGTCTCTTTGGTATCTCTATAAAATAAATACGAGCCCTATATTTGCCCAGATATATCCAAAGAACCCAAACTATTAAGTACCTGTAACTGGTGAGAATGTTGCTTGAATTAATTGAATTCACCAGGTATAATAGTTTATGAGAAACATAACCCACAACACAACATACAAGGCCACAGAAGAACAGAAGAATGGAAGGTGCTCAAGTCTTCCTGGGACAAGGATGGTTGAGAGCAGTGAAGCACAGATTCTGGTTCCTGTTTGCTCCCAATATAAGAAACCTAGGTTGGAGTCACCATTACCATCAGATCCTGTTGATTTAGTAGCCTATGAATCAAGCTCAGCTGTGGATGAGGAGGCAGCAATCAAACCTCTGTGTTCTTGTTAGAGGAACTAGCCTCAGTGACATGCTCAAATATACTGGTTTTAGTTCATTTTGGCATTTGTGGATTTAACCCTCATGTTTAGAGGGTCCTCAAGAGCACCTTAAGGTCCATGCCATGTAGCAATTTATTGTTTTGTAAATGAATTAGTTTGAATCTTATGCTTCAAAGTGTAATGTGCAAGAAGGAGTCACTTGGCAAGTGAGTGGGCCTGGGTTATCTCTAAACAACTACACTTCAGGCTGGCTATTATTATTCTACACTTTGGCTGCCTGTACAATAACTTTTTGGTGGTAAAATTTATATTCTTTCTGAAAAGAAAATCTTCTGCTAGTTCAGTGAGGAAAATGAAGGGAAAATAACATAAGTAAAAGGCATGCTTCTCAGCCAGAAAGTAAAAAATTTTTAAAGTGAAAAGTTATATGAGAAATGGCAAAAATATAGAGAGGATTAAAAAGATCAGAGGTTGCCAGGGTTTAAGGGTGGGGAAAAGAGGAATAGGTAAAACATGGGACATTTTTAGGGTAGAAAAACTGTATGACACTGCAATGGTAAATATATGACATTACATATTTGTTAAAAGCCATAGAACAGTGCAACACAAAGAGAGAACCCTAACACACAATATGGACTTTAGTTAACAAAAGTGCATCAATATCAGTTCATCAATTGAAACAAATGTTCCACACCAGTGCAAGGTGTTAATAGCGAAACTATGCAGGGGGGAAGTGATATATAGGAACTCTGTGTGTATTTTCTGCTCAACTTTTTAGTAACCTAAAATTGCTCTAAAAATAAAGTCTATTAATTTTATTGAAAAGTTGTTAGGAGGCGGCTCCCACCTCATTTTGTTCATGTCCTATACAACATGAACAGCTACACAAAAACTGTAGAAACAAGAAAAGTGATCCACGAAATCATTTTAGTGAGTGCTACTCCCTGTGCCAAAGCTGTTGATCAAACCGAAAAAGAAACGTTCATCGAAGTTGATTAAGTAGTTATTTGGTTTTGTCAATAACAACAAAAAAACACTGTTTAACTAAAAAGTGATTTTAGAAGAAGCAAAAAGCCCGTAAAAACATTTCATGAAGCAACCAGTGAGACTTTGAGACTGATTCTTATGAATTACACTGACCTTTTCCATGAGTAAACTTTAGGAAGTATTCCATGCTATGAAATTAATAGGAGAGAACCACTTAGCTGCAAAAGCCTGTCTTCAGAGTTAAAGAGAGGAAACAGACATATATTAAAGGGAAGATGCCTTTTGCAAATGTGCTTATCCAAGAAGGAAAAAGATGATTTATAGTCTAAAGAGGCTGAAGGCAGAACATCTCCTTGGATATCTTGTAGATTGGCCCAGATCTCAGGGTCACCTTCCTGAGTGAACTGCTGTGACCAAACTTCGTGCTTCTGTGAGTACATTTCATCTTCATCTTCATCTTTGTCCACACGTCAGCACCTTTTTATCATCACTGTAGCAGTTTTGCTGATTTAAGTTACTAGCAAAAGAATATAATGTAATACAGGATTGAGCTTATTTTAGTTGCTGGCTTTGTTTCTGTAGCTATATACATACAAATGACTTAAGCTTGTACATCTAGAATTATTAAGGGTCTGAAGAGTTCAATTAAAATTTTCAGCTATAGTTAACTGTTGTGTGGAGGGGGGAATTAAATGTTCCTTGAAGTTAATAACTGAGGATTCTTGAAGACCTTGGGAAGATTCCCTTGTGAATGAGAAGGTCTACTTTAATTTGAAGGAGGTGACAATCTTCAATGTTCCAGCAGATGGAAACAGGAAAATGAAAAATCTATGGCTTTCAGAATAAATGTCTGAATGATGAAGCTAAATGTACAGTACAGGAGCCATGTAAGTGGGAGCCAAATGAACAAAAACAAAGGGAAAACATAACAGAGACTCAGACTAATATTCCTTTTTCTACAGAGATCAAAACAAGGTTCCAGAGAGGCAGGGTAGCTTATAAATATAACAGCAATACAGCAAATGAGAAAAACGTGTTTCTAGCTTAAAATGTAATTAACTAGGCACTGTGCAATTACTGACAACTTGTGTTTTCCAGTCTTATCACAGATCTTCCTTGGGCTACATATGTTACTGAGAAAATTAGCCATGTTACATAGCAATAACATTAAAGGCATCACTTTGAAAGGCAGCACATAAAATAAACATTGCCTTGAAAACTGGGAGGTTGCTAGGAAATTATGTCAAGTGCAATCCTCTCCAGTTATATCTGATTTTTCCATTTTATTTCTTCCACAATCATTAGGGCTTAACCCCTAGAGGAATTTACACAAGGATAGCTTACATACCTCTGCAAATACAAATTTTCCAGGGGTTGCATTCAACACTTAGAAGGGCTTAGACATTACTGCTAAGAATTTTGGGCAGAGTAAACTGTTCTGGAAAAGGGCAACACTTGGGTTCTTGACCATATGGGGGTTTGTACAAGAGAAGATGGACTAGGCTGGATCCATATATATATATATATATATATATATATATATATATATATATGTGTGTGTGTGTGTGTGTGTGTGTGTGTGTGTGTGTGTGTGTGTGTGTATCTCCTTTTTTATTTCACAGGATGAATCAAAGGAGAAATGTCTTAGGGGCAAGCCAAATCAAGTGATTTGAGTTATTTTAAGAAGTAATTTATTGCATTGGTTGCCAAATTGAAAATGCCTGGACAGCCTGTTCAAAAAGCCAGCAGCAGGAAGAAAAGAGATTGTTCCAAAAACTCACGCCAAGAAGCAAGAAGAGAGCTGGGGCAGCACCCCTCTTGTGAATTAGCATTACAATGGCCCTACTCACCAGGAGGCTCTGAAAGCCAGAGAGATTTCTCTTACCATGTCTTCTAAGAGCTTTCTTTCCATTCATTCTATCCACTCACTAGAGGTAGATCCCTGATTCACTGATATGAAAAGAAGTGGATAACAGGTAAATAATTCATAGTGAGGTTTGGATTTTCTTTCCATATTAATAGCTACTGTGTGTACTGCACTTTCAGAATCCAAAGCATTATTGCATTCCTCATTTTATTAGGCCTCATGGCGCCACATGAGATAGCATGAGTTTTCTCATTTATAGATGAGGAACTGAGGCTCAGAGAAATTGTAACTGGTCCAATCTTTCAAATACAGAAGGTGGCAAAGCAAGAACTTGAAAACCCAAATTGAATGTACTGAAATTGAAACCAAAGATTCATCTCTAATCTATGCAGAAAGACCTTATTAGTTACAACAGTAATAAACTGAGCATCTAGTAAATGGCTAGGTAAATGGCACCTAGCTCTGTGCTAGGTAGCCTGCACAAAAAGCTTGATAAAACCAAAGCAACTGAAAAGAGAAATCTTCAGATCAATGCAAGGCACAAAGTAGAAAGAGATGACATGAGAATAATTTTCTGAGAGAGAGGGAGCCTGCCAAAAACAGTGAAAATACATTTTTTAAAAGGAGAATTATAATTTCATCCAACTATAAAGGAAAAAGACTCTGCCAAGGGGAAGTCGCCAAATGCAGCCGTTTGCTGAATAGGTTCCACATCCATGGTTGTGGCTACTAAACTATTGAGCTTCTTATTTTATAAAGTAGTCATTGCTAGTAGAATCACTTTAATTTCCAGAATCTAAAGAGTAGCTTCATCAACACAAATGAGACAGTAAATGAAAGACTATTTTATTTACATTTTTACCTCTTTCTTCAAATATGAGAAATATGTCTGGACTAAGTCACTTTGAGCCAGTGCCATTATCTTTTTAGGAGGAAATTTACCAACACCTAATATTAAAAATATATATATACATGCTTGATGCAAAGAGACGCAAGGTCAGCTTAAACAAAGTTCACTTAGGTTTCATGTTAATATAAGCTTATCTCACCAAGTCACTGCCCAAATTTGCAGAAAACTAGATTCTCCCACCAGAAATTGTCCATTTCTAGGCTTGTATGAGGCAGGAAACTGTCAAGAGGCAGCAAAAGAGGGTAGACTTTGATGAATAAACTCAAATCATCATGATATATTGTACCTTAGATAGTGCTGTACCTCATTTCCTGGTACACACTCGCTCCCAGAGAAAGGGAAATGAGTTTTGCTTTTTAAAAACAGAACATTTTACTAGACACATGGAACAGAATTGAACAGACTCCCATTTCATATGGCCCACTTTGCCCTCAGCTTCCAACTGTGCTTAATACACAGGAAAGTGCAATTTTATCTGGCCATTTTCATACCAAGTGTCACCTTCCTAAGAACTTATAAATTACGAAATATTCCTGTCTAATACAGTCACAGTTCCTATGTCCTATCTCTCTGTTCATAAGTTCCCAGTTTTCTCTGAACATATTTTAAAAATGGTCATTTGAAAAAAAATTAACCTTTGGAGTACTTCAGTGGGGATCCTGCACAGTCCCCCAGAACTGTGTTTCTAAGAAAATGACACATTCTACAAATATTGAGCTATCCTGTGTTTATTATTCAAGTATCAGATACTTTTAGTTTATCTGGTCCTCACTTTAATGTGTTTAATTTTTTTCAATAGAGAAAAGGAAATTAAATGTATTACTTCTGCACTGCTAACCTGCTCTTTCACAAAGGCATCTCTGAAAGGCAGCCTTGTGTTTGTGTTGGTCACTCCATTAACCATGTGGAGTACTGGGGCGGGAGCACTGTGGTTTCTGTGCATCATGGTGGCTCCATCTCTCTCGTGGTCTCTCCCTCTCTCTCTTCTTTCTCTCTTGTGTTGGTATGCAAACACAGAAGGGCACTTTGGCAAGAGGTGGAAAGAAGGATTTCACTGGTGAAAAAGAATCTCACAAGGTGAAGAGAATATGAATTTGTAAAATTTGCACTATGATATGCATGGAACAATAACCTATGACAGTAAATTGTATGTGCTAGAGAAGAGGCACAAAAAGTTTTAAGAAGGGTTAGGTCCTGCAACTTGAGAGGAGTAAGGAAAGTCTTTTGTGAAATAAACTGCATTTGGGTTGAAACCTGAAGGACAGCAGAGTTGTTCTCTCCACCTGTTGCCATTCCACCTCTATTTTCGTCTTTCAAAATCCAACCTATCCCTTCAGGGTTCAGTTTGGACTCTAGACTATCTGTAAACCCATTCCCAATGTCACACCTGTACCTGTTCATATTTTCTTTTCACTCTTTGAGCCAGGAGTCACTTTGCACTCCACTATGGCATTCATCATACTCATATTACACCTGTCTGTGTGTTTTATGGTTGACTCTCCTAGATAGCTAGTTCTTCCCCACTTTCCATATCCCTGTTAGCACCTAGCCTGGCATGAATGATAGGTCCCCAGTGGGTCTCTCTGACAAATGAATTAATGACTTTATCTGCCTTTGTCTTCATTACATCCACAGGCCTGTAGTGTCACTTGCCTGCCTTTCCTATAGAGGAATGATCTAAACAATTGTTGCCTCATGTCTCCTAATATTTGAGGAAAATACATTAAACTCACCATATACACAAAGCAATTTGGACTCAGGGCATGAGCTTTGTAATTTACATGCTGGTTTCTTACAGGGTAATATATAATTTGTGAGGAAAATCCAGTCTAAAAAACCTGCTGTTGTGTGAGCCTGCTTCCCGTGAGCAATAAAGCTGAATGCTGGAATTGGCCTTGATAATTGAGCCTAGTTATGTTACGGACCTTGAATCTAATTTTGAATCGCTATTTACCTCTGAAAAATACTGTCCCAATTTTGTCTGCCTTGGGTAAAACTGTTGGCCCATATGAAGCATTTAAAAGGTAATATGCAAGCTTTCAAATAGACATAAGTGAATAAATATAATTGCTAACAGTCTTCAAATTAAATAGATCTGCAGCTAGTTCACTAGTGATAAGAATATAAATCAGACAGTAAGATTAATTTAATTTTCAGCTCCTTCAGGCCAAAATCAAGTGTTAGAATTAAACATTCCAATTTCTTTAATAATTTTGAGTCACGGAGTAAATAAAGCTGTACAATAACCAATTCCTTTGACAGAGAGTTGTTAGAACACGAAAATAAGTTTTCTATACATTATAATTATTAGCAAAATTTCACTCTTCTCTTCAGAAAGGAATAATGTAGCATAATATTTTGGTTTTATAAATCAAGACTTGAAACAGAGAAATAGGGATTTTTAAATTTTTCATTTAGTCCTAATCCATCCATCTGTCCATCCATCCTGGTGTGAGCCATTAGCTGCGGGCTCTCTTGGTGAGTTGCACAACTATTATGCAACACTTAGCATCTTTCAGCTCCAACTCTCACTATACTCATTACCATTACCACCCATTCCATACTGGCTTTGGCCAGCTTCACACATGCTATGACAGTATCTCAACCTGAACTGTGTGCTATTGCTTCCTGTTCTAGTGGTTCTCTGATACTGAGGTGTGGTAACATGCTTGATACACATATGTAACCTAGAAGTTCAAGAGAATAAATGACCGTGAGGCTACTTTTGACAAATACAGGATCAAGCATCAGTCACCTGCAACATGGCCAACTTGATAATGCAATATTGTATAGTCTCTCTTCTTCTCTGCTTCACTTCCCAACTCCTTCATTCCCACTCTTTAGAATCACTTCCAAATTAAACTGCTCTTATACAAGGCTTCATCTCAAGCTGACTTTAAGGGAGACCAAGGATAAAACAGCAGGTATCAGGATTGGCTGTACAAAGATATGACAATGGGCTTTTGGAGCTAGATCCCCTACCAGTCAAATAGCAATGCAGATCCCATTGTTGATGGTCAGTGGGTGGTGGTAATCCCCAGCATGTGGTGGCATCACAATTGTTCTCAGCTGTGATAAATTGACATGAGCTAGATAGGAGAAACTTCAGCAAAGCCTGATAGGAAAAACATAGTTTCTTCTCGGGAGTAAATAATTTATACAACAAAGGGACTGGCTGACATATGCACATATACATATATATGTGTATGTGTGTGTGTATCAGGAGGAATGAGTAGATTATGTATAGGAGTGGATCATGAGGATTTTTGATTGGGGTATGGGGAGGAATCAAGCTGAATAGGAAGTATAAGGAGGAATTAAGCTGATGTTCAAAGTCCTGGCAGGCACCCATGGATCCAGTCCTAATATGCTGCTGGATGGTTCATTGAAGCTTGGCCTCAATGATGGCCAATATTAAATAAGGTGGAGATGCTAAAACTGTCTTGGCAGATTACTGAGGGTAGATGGCTTGAGGAGGTAGAAATGTTAGAATGAATTTATTATATACGATCAGAGAACTCACCCCTGACTATTTCCAGAAAGGTCTAGATAATTGTCCTTTCATTAAGGTAATCAGGAATACACTGGTAAGAGAATACTGACATCTTTGAGACCACAGTGAGAGTTGTCTCCTATAGGACACAGTTTACTATAAGAGATGTGACCATGGCACTGGGTTTTACAGTATCAATGAGGCTATGATTCTAGAATGGCAAAAGTAAGGTGGGTGGCATTTAAGCATCAGAGGAAAGGTTGACAAAATTATCAGAACAGGCAAGAAGGCCAGACCGGCGTAGCAATCAGACCCACAGGACCTAGCATTACTAGGAGCAATACATATATAAACATACATAATTAGTGTGTTGCTTATTTCTTTTAAACCAGGAGTTGGTGAGCAGAATGATAATGTCAGTTGCTGCAATGCAATAAATCAGGATTCCTCATTCAGTCTCCAGATCTAAGTTAGTTCACAGACTGAGAACCCACTGACTGATGAGGAGGCTGGGAGAACTTGAGATAACCCAATGACACCATAAATGTGTAAATAAATATTCTTATTATCCTTTCTTGAAAACACCTAAAGCCACTTACAGATAACTGCACTGGGTCAAAGATAATATATAGACTTTGCAAGGACTATGGAACACAGGGTCTAACACTGATACTAGGGGAACCAAAACATGATCACAGCCCCTTTATTAAAGCCCCTTTATTAAAGTGGCTCATACCTGTAATCCCAGCACTTTGGGAGGCCAAGGTGGGTGGATCACCTGAGGTCAGGAGTTCAAGACCAGCCTGGCTAACATGGCAACACCTCGTCTCTACTAAAAAAATACAAAAACTTAGCTGGGAATGATGGTGTGTGCCTGTAGTTCCAGCTTCTCAGGAGGCTGAGGCAGAAGAGTCACTTGAATCTGGGAGGCGGAAGTTGCAGTGAGCTGAGATCGTGCCACTGCACTCCAGCCTGGGTGACAGAGCGAGACTTGGTCTCAAAAAAAAAAAAAAAAAAGAAAAAAAAAAAATTTAAGTGTGAACTGATGAAAGGTGGGTAGTAAAGGTACTTCTGCCCTAAATACATTTCCATCAGGTCCTCAGACCCATCCTGTGGTTATTTTCCTGGTCCCTAAAAGTATAATTGAGCTACATATCATTAGTATCTAGCAGAACTCTTACTTTTGTTCTCTGACCAGTAAAGCATGAATCATTTTTGTAGAAAGAGCCAAATGAGAGCCTTATAACCACCCCACCTCCAATTACATAGCAAATTAGAAACAATGTCATGTTCCAGAATTGCAGAGATTAGTATCACTACCAGGGACTTTAATTCAATTTATCTGTTTGGCCTCTGCAAAACCAGATACAGCATGATACATGATAGTGGGCACCTATAAAGTTAACCAAGTAGTAGCCCCAGTCACAGCTGCTGTGCTGAATGTGCTATCCTTATTGGAGAGATCAACATAGACTGTGGCACTTGGCAGGCAGATCTGGTGAATGCTATATAGCTGGCAAATGTGTCTTTCTTAATCACCATCAGTAAAGGAAATCAAAAGCAGTTTGCTTTTATGCAGTAAAGATACCAGTTCAAATTCACAGTGTTGCTCCAGGGCTATGACAACTCTACTTCTCTCTGTCATAATGCAATCTATAGAAACCTTGATCACCTTGACATACCAAAGAATATTATGCTGTTTCACTACAGTTGATGACATCATGTTATTAGACCTGATGATCAGAAAACAAAAATTACCCTAATAAAAAATATGCATGCCACAGGGTAGTGTTTAATCCCTCTGTCACTTACAAGTATATTGCTTTATCTGCCCTTTTAGACCTATAAACCTATTTTCTGGTAGTGGACTGGAAACATTTAAGAATCTCTCCTTTGCAGTGAGCATGTTAATCTTTGTCAATAGAGGGCACTGGAGGGACATTTCAGGAGAAAGGGGTTTCTCTTCCTGGTCCAGTTGTGCTGCTGTTTTGCTTCTTTTTGTTCCTACTGTGCAACTAGCAGAAGAGAGTGTGTGTGTATGTATGTGTGGACATCCAGCAGTGCCTTGCCATAGCAGCACCCCCAGTACCCACAATCCCTTTGGGAACTTGCAGCCTCAGCCCTAGCCGTGGCCCAGAGACCATCTGGCTGAGGCCCTCTGGATGTATATACAGATCCTCAGGCTCTGTGCTACCCTGAAGGTGAGCAAGCTCCTGATGCCCTGACTCCCTTGACCCATCCACAGCCTGGAGGTTTATTTCTCTTGGTACCCCAACACAGAGATAACATACATCCCAAGGAAGGAACCCCCACTCCATGTTAAGCAGGCTCCTGAGCCTAACACTCTATGTGAGCCCACCCACCAGCCTGCCTTGGCCTGCCTGCATTCCAGAGAGGTATCTCCTGTTTGTTCAGAGATCGTAGGCCATCTCTGGCCTAGGCAAACCAGTGAATTTCTTTACCATCCAGGAAGCTGCAACTAACTGCACCTTTTCTGAGAATTTGAATCCCAGCCTTGCTGAGGAGACTACCCCCTGCCCCTACCAAACACGATTATTTTTCCCTTGCATATTTTCCTTCAACGTTAGGCTATCCTCTAGAGTTCTGTTTAAATCTTTATAGTCTCCTATTATAGTTAAGAATTTCTAATATTAAACTTTCCCTGTTCAAATTATTGTGTGGTTTCCATCTTGCGATTAGACGCTGACTGATATAATCTTAAAAAAAATCAGCAATCTGTTATTTTGGCAAATACTTTAGAGGCCCAGTGGTCAAATGGCAGGCAGAGTCATCCTCTCCAAGGCAGAAGACAAAGTGTTGCAACTCAAAACCCTTAACACTCAAAAGCAAGCACAGCACTTGGTAGATATCATTGGATTTTGAAGGTAACATGTACACTACTTGGGAAAATCTCTCTGACCTATCTTTCTGAAGACTTGAAAAGTTCTCAATTTTGAGGGGGTTCCATGGAAGAAGGGGTTCTGCTTCAGGTTCAGGTTATGGTACAAGCTGTCTGCCATTCTGGCAAGAGTTCTACTATTAGGGCTAAGGATGCTATGTGGAGTCTCAGCCCCAGAAGAGAATTGCAGCACAGACCCTTAGGATTCTGGAGTAAGGCCACACCTTTTGAGGCAGAGAACTACTTGCCATTTGATAAACAGCTTCCAGCACGCTAGTCTGCCCTGGTCAAGATGAAGCACTTGATGATGGACCATCAAGTGACTGTGTGATCCAAGTTCCCATCATGAGCTGGATATTATAAGATTCGCCAAATCATAAGGGTGGGTAGGCTCAGTAGCAATCAACTGCACTGCAAAAATGGTACATTCACATTTAGTCTGAGTGGGGCCAAAAGGCCTAAAGAAGTTGCATGATAAGATGGCCCAGACTCCCATGACACCTACCTTTTTTGCACCAACTCTCCTCCAATAATTTACAACTATGGCCTCGTAAAAACTGTCTTATAGCCAGCTGATGGAGGAAAAAAACCTCAAACCTGTTTCCCAGATGGGTTGGCCCGCTATGTTGGCTCTAGCTGAAAATAGGTTGCTACTGTCTATATCCCTCCCACCAGGAGTAGCCCTAAAGAACAGTAATGAAGGGAAATTCTTCCAGTGGGCAGAGCTTAGTCTAACTCTATTTTCTAACTACACTTTCCCTCTCTAAGTAATTTTATTCAAAATAAAGTATATAACAGTTAATTTCTTTTTATGTAAATGACTCCTAAATTATATCCCAGCCCAAACTTTTTCCAAGGGCAAGTCACAAATTTCCACCTGCCAAGAGGACATCTCTGCTGTGTATAGAATTGATTCCAGAAATTCTATATGTCAGAAATATATCATCCTTCCTTCTGAATCTACTCTATAATAACTTCCAAACTTCCTCAGTAGTTATGCTTTCATTACAATCTCATTCCTTTTTCTAGTGCCCTACCACCTATCAATCCCTAATTTCTATTGTCTTGCCATTCTACCTCTCTCAAATCTGTTTTATTCTACTATTTGCATTGCAACTTAAGTTATTAAGTATATTTTTATTGCTACTGGACCTACTGCAATGAGTTTTTATGTAGTCTCCTTAACCCTATGCACAAGATTATAAGATTTATTTTCAAAAAGCCCAAATAATGTACTGTCATTCTCTTTCTTCCAGTGAATCAGTGGTTCCGAGCTGTCAGGTTCAAGCTCTTTGGTTTGGCGTGCAAGCTCTGGCCTCTGCGTGCCTTTATAAACCAATTTTCACCAATTTCCCTTCATAAAGTCTTCCTACTTCAACACAAACTTGGGCTGTGTATTAAAGCAGAAACTACAGAGAGTTAAAGCCAAGTAAATCTGTGTTCCAATCACAGCCCTTCAGCTAAGTAACTGAGATCTTGGGCAACACCTTTACACACTGACTGTGATGTTCAGCATTTCTCATCTAAAAATTAGTATAATGAATACCTATCATAAAGCCTTGCTGAAAAGGTGAAATAATACATATAAAACGCGAAGTAGAGTGTCTGATACCAAGTAGGAAAGCAATAAATATGGTATACTGATTTCTTCTCCCTTTTTATATTTGTCCCAAGACGTATATTTATCCCTGCTTTCAGAAGCAGGCCAATTTTCCAAAGTCAACTTGCTCAATGGCCAGAATGCCAAATTGAATTGTCTTCCTGGCAAAATGTTTTCAGTACATCGACGTATATCGAAGTTTACTGCCTCTGGGCTTTGCTAAGATTGTTCTATCTGCCTGCATATTCCTGTCTATGGAGCCTCTTCTGGTCCTTTCCAACCAGAAGTTTTCTCTCTCACATTTGAAATTCCATAGAGGCTTGTGTTATCTCTCTCCTAAGTACAACCAGTATGGCCCTGAAATGCAGAGTAACACCTGCTTGGGTACTTTATTCAGCCGTCTTATGGCAGCTATATGATTGAGGCACTTCAGAGAAACCTTGTTCTAAACCCAGGCCTGGTTGTAAACTGTTTGCAATGATCTCATGCCAGAAGGCACCAAACCCTCCAGAATGCTCTACTTCTAACTGCCTCAGAACTCTCAAATTCAAGGGTAGAATCACAAGACCTAGGAAAAATCTCCTTTAATTTTTATTTCTCTAAGAGGGATGCAGTGTTAAATAAAATAAAATTTTGCTCTTTATTTTGCCTTTCTTTCTTTTGCCAACCACCCATTGTCATTTTTCTAATTACTTCCAAAACCCTAATACCTATCATTTTCTTCAGTTTCTTCCATTATAACTGTTATTCCAGGTAGCTCTCCTACTAGATGGAGAATTTCCTTATGATTAGATACCTTGTGCCTTTATATTTTGTCTGCAGTAGCATCTATCTAATACAATACCTTGAATATAGTAGGTCCTAAATAAATGTCTTTGGAATGAACAAATAAATGTTCATTGTATTGTGCTAGCCACGGTAGAAATATACACAAGACCTCAATCCCCAAGGAATTTATCTTGTAGGTGGAAACATAAATTATTTACAAATGTACTGTTAGTAACTATGCAAAGTCAAGCATGATTCTAAGTTCAACAGTACAAAAAGAAGGATAAGGTAGGTGAGATCAGCAACCCAGCTAAGAGTACTTTTGATCAGCAGCCTACCCTCTATCTGAAGTAGTTCTAATAGATACTTTCCAGTTTTTAGGAAGGTAGAACAAAATGGTAGAAATAGACTATTCCTCAAGTTTGACAGATACGGACAGTAGTTTTGTTTGGTGCCATTGAATGCCAAGCATCAGCATTTTCAAATCTAAAATAAGGATAGTAATTCATATCTCGCAAGGATTTTTTTTGAAGGGGTATTAGAGATAACATAAGTAAAGTGTTTTACATTTCCTGGTCACTTAACAAACCTCAGCTGTTACACTGCTTTAGTCAAATAAGCAAATGTAGTTTTGCCACAGCATAAAACCTGTCTTACTCTATGGGCTCAAATCTGTCCAGTGCTGAGTAGACTAATCCTACAGTCTTCTGTAAGTTTTTATTGAATAACTCCTCAGCCAAAAGGCTACCCAGGACTCAGACTCCTGTCTGGCAGAAGTGCTGTCTGGAGCCAATGGGGCAAGTTATATTAGTTTGGCTCCCACGCTGGCTTGTTCCCCGAGCCTCAGTGCAGATATGAGTGGGTAGCTGGAAACAGTTCCCACCTCCTGGAAAGGTGACTACCAGGGAGAAGGGGAGAATGGCAAGCCCAGATACAGACACTAAAAGGGTGTTTCATGGCACCAGCATTAGGGCAGAAATAGATTACAAGAGAGCTTTTTGTATACAGAGAAAAGACCCAAGAAACATGCGCTCGGGAGGCATGCGATGACAGAAATGACAATATGGACATTTATGTTATCAAATAATAATTCTAACCAGAATGAAGGTAGCTATCAGGTTTTAATTAATTTTCTTTATTTAATCCTCACAAGACATAGTGAGATAAAGTTTTTCATTCCCCTTTTACAGAAAAGGATACAAAGACAAAGATTAAATAAAAGTCCAAGGTTACAGAGCTAATAAACAGTAAATCTGCAATTCAAACTTTAGGAATCAGCAAGAATCACTCCTGGAAGAAAACAGTGCTATTGGAGACGTTATTTACATAGTAATGTAAGGACTCTCAAGAACAGTCTATAGGTCCCAGTTAGAAAACAAAGTAAAATTAAAAAAAAAATATTTAATAAAGGAAACTTTACTTTTCGGAAAAGATTTTCCAAAAAAGTTATTACTAAAAATAATAAATTTCAGCTTTCGCTTGTATTTTTACACCATGATCTAAAGGAAAATTAAATAAAACTCTTGTGATCCCCCATTTTGAGAGGCACTGATCCAGTCCAACACAGTCATGTGGGATAGCGCTAAAATTCAGGACAGTTCATTGACCTTAGAGCAGAAAATATGTGCTTTTAAAGTATTTTCTGAAGTTGATGAGAATTACATGAAGTACCCTCTTAAGGGAAATGATATTTGTAATCAACATTTATTCTTTAAAAATATGTGGATACACTCCTGTCAGAGCTTTGCTAAAGGAGCAGCTCATCAGAGAAAATATTCTACAATATAATCCATTACAACAAAAGCAAATAACTGAGAACAACTCCATTTCTCTTTTCCTTTTCTTCTTCTTATCAAACTTCTACTTATTCTTTAAGAATTATCTGGTCTCACTACATTTATGAATCATATCTGATCTTCCATTGCTATAACTTAATCTATCTTTTCCTTAGATCTCTATAGTGTTTAATGTCTGCATCATTCTTGACATTTATTATGGTAGCAAGACAATGTTTTGAAATATTCTCCAATGTAATTGCTTTAATTATGATTTCACTCTAAAGCCGTTCTGTAATTAAAACAAGGTCTGGAGGCTGAGACTGTTGTCCCTGGAAAGAAAAAAACAGAAAAGCACTCACTGAGAACAAAGAGTTGATTTCCATGCTTTTAACTCCAAAGCAGACTTTTAAAAACATATAGTAGAGGCAATAATCTTGAAAGTCACTTTTATGAAAGAGGTGAGAATTTGGGGAATTTTCAAAACTTGGCTTGGAAACCAAGAGCCAAAACCTGAAGGAAGAGGTCATACAGTTTTCCCAAAAATAAAATATTAGAGAATTCATGGTTTTGTAAGAAGGGAAAGGAGCGTCTGACTATGAAGAGGGTAGGAGGGCTGAGTATCTGGGAGGAGTGGAAAAAAAAACACCATTTTTGGAAGAATCACCACCAGGCTTTCTGGGGCATAGCCCCAGAAAGTCTCTTTTCCAGGTTGGAGATGACTTCTGAATAAACAGGTAACCAGCATCTGATACTGGAAGTTATTTTCAACATGACCCTGTGTGTAGGGAGTAATGACTGAGGGTGGTAGATGACTGGGTAGATAGACCTGGAGATATCTTCACAAAGTCCCACAGAACCTAACTGGGTTGCCATGGCCTCCTCAAAGGAGCACAGAAGTGGCTGAGGATAAACTGGAAGACTCAAAGGACCTGAAGTTGCAACAGATTACAAGGACCACATGGCTGGAGGCACTGGGTGAGACTAGAGCTATAAGCAGTGGTTGCCAGTGCCCAGAGATGGGACTAGATGGGATAGGCTGTGTCTGTATGGAGGTCAGTGAGCACAGATGACACAGATGTTACATCCTTTCCAGAGGATAGCAGTATACATTAGTACCTATCCCCCCAGAAAGAAACTGAATCCCAAGGAAGAGCAGAAGGAGGAAAAGGGAAAAAGAGAACTCTGAGAATTGTGTTTAAGCTCTTTACCTTTTATATTTGTTTATTGTTTTTAAACATTTAGAAATGGGGCTACACTCAGCACTGATAAGGAAAATCCTACCTCTTTTAGTACAGTAATGGATTCAGAAATGAGCCTGAAATTCAAGCCTAAGCCATTAGTGTATGGCATTCTCTGAGCCAAAGTAATTGATTCAGGAATGACCATCGGACCTAAGTTGCTCCCAACAGGATATTTGTGTATGTGTGAATGAGAAGACCTGTAGCCTTGGTGCTGCTGACAAACATAGAGGAGGCAGCCTTAGGATAAAACCAACCTTACAGATGCAGAGATGGAAAGAACAAGAAAACCAAAGAAAGAAAGAAAGAATAAGAGGAAGGAAGAAAGAAAAGGAGGGAGGGAGGGTGGGGGAGAAAGGGTTTCTTACTGACATTATTATACTGTTGAATTAACCTTCACCCTGAAAACAGCCCCAATACTGGGTTAATTACTAATAAATTCTATTTGTTATTCAGGTTTAATCAGGTGTTTCTGATAGTTTCAACTGCATTTCCTAATTTATACTGATAGTGATCAAATTTGCCTTGGCTGTATCTTACCAGCCTGTTACAGAGATTCCCCATGAAAAACACTATATCTGAAGTGAAGCCAAAAAAAGAGAGCGATCACACATGATGTAGAAAATCCTCACCACCATTATTACTTGTTAGTTTACATTTTTGTTTATAAAATAGTGAATTTGAATTATAGAATTTTGGAAAACAGAAAATTTGAAAAAGAACAAAATTAATCACCCATGGTTTTACTACCCCAAAGCAACATCTGGGTATATTTTGGCTTCCTTAATTTGATTCTTGGTTTCTATTCAGGATTATTTCTTATAGAATATTTGTGATGATATTTTATATCCTAATTTTGGATCCTGTTTTTTTCACCTAACAAGCAATTGTAGGGATAAACTCCAAAACCCTAAAGTCTGGAAAACTGACCTAAATTTGGTTTTTCATCTCCTGGTGATCACTTAGGGTATGCTGGGATTGCCACCAGTGTTGCAACTGGTGAGCCAGCAGGCCCTGGCTGAGTGAGGAGAAGAGCCGGGAGGTGCCAGGAGGGTTCACCAGGCTGCTGAATGACCTGGTGGTTCTTCACACTATCTGTGGCATCTACGGAGCAGGGTTCCCCTGTGGAGGGAGAAGGCACTAGAAGCTTGGTCCTCCAACTGAGAGTACTTCTGTGTCCCTTTCCTAGCAGAACCATCTCTGTGCAGTAAGTGGCATCTTTTGTCTACATTAAAGAACGTGTATTCTTTGCCAGTGTCTGCTGGTTTCTTTTCCTGAGCCTGTTGTGACAACCCTGCAGTAGATGATGATAATAACAGCATCTAGCATCTACGGAGCACTTACTTAGTATCAGGTACCTTTTAAGCAATTGACATACACTAACTCCTAATTTTCATGGTAATTATACAAAGTAAGTACTGTCATTTTACAGTCCATCATTTCCATTTTATATTTATTTATTTTTCCATTTTCTTTCAGGGAATGGAATATCATTTCCATTTCACGTATAAGGAAACTGAGACACAGGGGAAATAATCTGACCAAGGACACAGCTAAGAAACTTACGCTTTTACCACTGTGTTACAAGCCTTGTTATATACTGTAAACTTGTTATGTAATACATAATTTCTTGAATATTTTTCATGTTATTAAAACTCTGATAACATATTATTTTAATGTCTAAATCAATATTATATCCTTTATATAACCAGACCTCTATTATGAAATACTTAGATTGTTTCACTCTTTTATTTAATAAATAATGCTGTAGTAAATATATTTGCAAAGAAGGATTTTTCTGTATTTAGAGTTTTTGGAGGGATACATTCTCAGAAGCAGTATTATGAAGTTTAGTGGTATGACTATTTTAAAGCCCTTGAGTTATATTGCAAATTACTTTTCAAAGATGATGTACCAATTTACATACCTAATGTAAAGTAGGAGAGATGCCTCTTTCACTGAACTGTCACTGTCATCAAGTAGCACATATTCTTTTCTCTGAATAAAGAGCAATATTCAATATATCATTTCATTAATATATTGAATCAACAAAACTTTGATTTGCTTTTATATTTTATAATTAATAAATTATTTTTAAAGATTATTTCTCTATTTTAGAGACAGAGACTTGCCCTATCACCCAGGCTGCAGTGCAGTGGTGCAATCACAGCTCACTGTAACCTCCAACTCCTGGACTTAAGTGATCCTCCCACCTCTGCCTCCTAGTAGTTAGGATTACAGGCGCCACCACATTCAGCCACAGTTTTAAAATTTTGATAAAATAAATGATCTGAATAGTAAAATTAATACCTGAATATTCAATCCTATATTTAATACATTATATTGAATTACAGAAATGACAAATTAGTTATACTTTAAAAGAATTCAAATACTACAAAACCTTTCAAATATTAATTCTTTCATCAATACAATACCAAGCAAGTAGCTAAGGAGGAAATACTCACACAGAGCCCCTGAAATAAAATGACCTGCCAAGGCTGCATATAAATAGAATTATGACTAAATGTTTGCTTTGTTTCTTTCAATTAAGAGAAACAGTGAAGAATATATACATGAGGAAAAGGAAGAAATATATATTGTCACATTTTAATGTCAAAATATGAAGATGTTTCTCAAAAATTAAAAACAAACAATATTTACTTATTCTTTCCATTGGGTCTCTTGGTGCTTAGCTTAACTTTTAAATGCCCTTTCTAGTTGATGACCTAAACAAAAGCCTTGAAAAGCTATAAATAGTTCCATCCATTCTGCACCATGCTCCTGCCTCCCTCCTTTAGTGCTTATGGCCTCCCTTAGGAACGTGTTTGGGCCAGATGGCCTTCAGCCCAATTTCTTGTAAATATTCATTTTTAATGATAATAATTAAAAATACTAATTTGCTGTTACCCAAGGCCATTTCTACAGAGACCTCTTGGTGTTTCACAAATACTAATTAAGCCTCAGCAATGAGACTTTCTCTTCTAGTCTTACAAAATGCCTAAGGGTTTATCCCTAAAGCAATATTCTTAGCATAAACAATGACATCAGCAGCCGAGGCAAGATTCCAGCTTCTTCCTTCCATCAGGATGGTCTTCAGACATGAGGATGAACTCACATTGTTTGATACCAGTTTGGGCCCAAGATGCCACCAGGAGGGGACAATCAGTCTCTTTTCCAGGGTGGAGATGACTTCTGATAGGCTATAAGAGGTTACTCATTCTCCCTCCTTTAACTTAGAAAAACTATTTATTTATCTGATGGCTTAGAACAATGTTTTTCAAACTGAAGGACAAATCATTAAACAAGAGCTCTTAATCTAGGTTCTTTAGACCACCAGATAATCTGAGGATAGAGTACAGTATATCTATGAGCTTAGGTGGGTAAAACAATCACATCTTTATTTTTGTTAATACCAATAATACCACAGTAGTATTAGTAGTACTTATGACTATTACCAGCGGAAATTATAGATATTTTCATGGCACCTTAGGTTATGCAGGAATCTTGAAATATTATTTATCCATATTACTACTTTAGGATTATGGTAGCTTATTTCAAATTTTAATTTAAATGCTCATATATTGTGGTGGAGCCAAGATGGCCAAATAGGAACAGCTCCAGTCTACAGCTCCCAGTGTGAGCGACACAGAAGATGGGTGATTTCTGCATTTCCATCTAAGGTACCGGGTTCATCTCACTAGGGAGTGCCAGACAGTGGGTGCAGGAAAGTGGGTTTAGTGCATCGTGCGTGAGCTGAAGCAGGGTGAGGCATTGCCTCACTTGGGAAGTGCAAGGGGTCAGGGAGTTCCCTTTCCTAGTCAAAGAAAGGGGTGACAGATGGCACCTGGAAAATCTGGTCACTCCCACCCTAATACTGCGCTTTTCCAATAGGCTTAAAAAATGGCACACCAGGAGATTATATCCCGCACATGGCTCGGAGGGTCCCATGCCCATGGAGTTTTGCTGATTGCTAGCACAGCAGTCTGAGATCAAACTGCAAGGTGGCAGCGAGGCTGGGGGAGGGGTGCCTGCCATTGCCCAGGCTCGATGAGGTAAACAAAGCAGCCTGGAAGCTCGAACTGGGTGGAGCCCAACACAGCTCAAGGAGGCCTTCCTGCCTCTGTAGGCTCCACCTCTGGGGGCAGGGCACAGACAAACAAAAAGACAGCAGTAACCTCTGCAGACTTAAATGTCCCTGTCTGACAGCTTTGAAGAGAGTAGCGGTTCTCCCAGCACGCAGCTGGAGATCTGAGAATGGGCAGACTGCCTCCTCAAGTGGGTCTCTGAGCCCTGAGCAGCCTAACTGGGAGGCACCCCTCAGTAGGGGCACACTGACACCTCACACGGCCAGGTACTCCTCTGAGACAAAACTTCCAAAGGAACAATCATAGGGATGGAGGAAGATCTACCAAGCAAATGGAAAACAAAAAAAGGCAGGGGTTGCAATCCTAGTCTCTGATAAAACAGACTTTAAATCAACAAAGATCAAAAGAGACAAAGAAGGCCATTACATAATGGTAAAGGGATCAATTCAACAAGAAGAGCTAACTATCCTAAATATATATGCACCCAATACAGGAGCACCCAGATTCATAAAGCAAGTCCTTAGAGTCCCACACAACAATAATGGGAGACTTTAACACCCCACTGTCAACATTAGACAGATCAATGACACAGAAATTTAACAAGGATACCCAGGAATTGAACTCGGCTCTGCACCAAGCGGACCTAATAGACATCTACAGAACTCTCCACCCCAAATCAATAGAATATACATTCTTTTCAGCACCACACCACACCTATTCCAAAACTGACCACATAGTTGGAAGTAAAGCACTCCTCAGCATATGTAAAAGAACAGAAATTATAACAAACTGTCTCTCAGACCACAGTGCAATCAAACTAGAACTCAGAATTAAGAAACTCACTCAAAACCGCTCAACTACATGGAAACTGAACAACCTGCTCCTGAATGACTACTGGGTACATAAGGAAATGAAGGCAGAAATAAAGATGTTCTTTGAAACCAACGAGAACAAAGACACAACATACCAGAATCTCTGGGACACATTCAAAGCAGTGTGTAGAGGGAAATTTCTAGCACTAAATGCCCACAAGAGAAAGCAGGAAAGATCCAAAATTGACACCCTAACATCACAATTAAAAGAACTAGAAAAGCAAGAGCAAACACATTCAAAAACTAGCAGAAGGCAAGAAATAACTAAAATCGGAGCAGAACTGAAGGAAATAGAGACACAAAAAACCCTTCAAAAAATTAATGCATCCAGGAGCTGTTTTTTTGAAAAGATCAACAAAATTGATAGACCGCTAGCAAGACTAATAAAGAAAAAAAGAGAGAAGAATCAAATAGACGCAATGAAAAATGATAAAGGGGATATCACCACCGATCCCACAGAAATACAAACTACCATCGGAGAATACTACAAACAACTCTACGCAAATAAACTAGAAAATCTAGAAGAAATGGATAAATTCCTCCACACATACACCCTCCCAAGACTGAACCAGGAAGAAGTTGAATCTCTGAATAGACCAATAACAGGCTCTGAAATTGTGGCAATAATCAATAGCTTACCAACCAAAAAGAGTCCAGGACCAGATGGATTCACAGCCGAATTCTACCAGAGGTAAAAGGAGGAACTGGTACCATTCCTTCTGAAACTCTCCCAATCAATAGAAAAAGAGGGAATCCTCCCTAACGCATTTTATGAGGCCAGCATCATCCTGATACCAAAGCCTCGCAGAGACACAACAAAAAAAGAGAATTTTAGACCGATATCCTTGAAGAACATTGATGCAAAAATCCTCAATAAAATACTGGCAAACTGAATCCAGCAGCACATCAAAAACCTTATCCACCATGATCAAGTGGGCGTCATCCCTGGGATGCAAGGCTGGTTCAACATATGAAAATCAATAAATGTAATCCAGCATATAAACAGAACCAAAGACAAAAACCACATGATTATCTCAATAGATGCAGAAATGGCCTTTGACAAAATTCAACAACCCTTCATGCTAAAAACTCTCAATAAATTAGGTACTGATGGGACGTATCTCAAAATAATAAGAGCTATCTATGACAAACCCACAGCCAATATCATACTGAATGGGCAAAAACTGGAAGCATTCCCTTTGAAAACTGGCACAAGACAGGGATGCCCTCTCTCACCACTCCTATTCAACATAGTGTTGAAAGTGCTGGCCAGGGCAGTCAGGCAGGAGAAGGAAATAAAGGGTATACAATTAGGAAAAGAGGAAGTCAAATTGTCCCTGTTTGCAGATGACATGATTGTATATCTAGAAAACCCCATTGTCTCAGCCCAAAATCTCCATAAGCTGATAAGCAACTTCAGCAAAGTCTCAGGATACAAAATCAATGTGCAAAAATTACAAGCATTCTTATGCACCAATAACAGACAAACAGAGAGCCAAATCATGAGTAAACTCCCATTCACAATTGCTTCAAAGAAAATAAAATACCTAGGAATCCAACTTACAAGGGATGTGAAGGACCTCTTCAAGGAGAACTACAAACCACTGCTCAATGAATTAAAAGAGGATACAAACAAATGTAAGAATATTCCATGCTCATGGGTAGGAAGAATCAATATCGTGAAAATGGCCATACTGCCAAGGTAATTTATAGATTCAATGCCATCCCCATCAAGCTATCAATGACTTTCTTCCCAGAATTGGAAAAAACTACTTTAAACTTCATATGGAACCAAAAAAGAGCCCGCGTCACCAAGTCAATCCTAAGCCAAAAGAACAAAGCTGGAAGCATCACGCTACCTGACTTCAAACTATACTACAAGGCTACAGTAACCAAAATAGCATGGTACTGGTACCAAAACAGAGATATAGACCAATGGAACAGAACAGAGCCCTCAGAAATAATGCCACATATCTACAACTATCTGATCTTTGACAAACCTGGCAAAAACAAGCAATGGGGAAAGGATTCCCTATTTAACAAATGGTGCTGGGAAAACTGGCTAGCCATATGTAGAAAGCTGAAACTGGATCCCTTCCTTACACCTTATACAAAAATTAATTCAAGATGGATTAAAGACTTACATGCTAGACCTAAACCCATAAAAACCCTAGAAGAAAACCTAGGCAATGCCATTCAGGCCATAGGCATGGACAAGGACTTCATGTCTAAAACACGAAAAGCAAAGGCAACGAAAGCCAAAATTGACAAATGGGATCTAATTAAACTAAAGAGCTTCTGCACAGCAAAAGAAACTGCCATCAGAGTGAACAGGCAACCTACAGAATGGGAGAAAATTTTTGCAATCTACTCATCTGACAAAGGGCTAATATCCAGAATCTACAATGAACTCCAACAAATTTACAAGAAACAAACAAACAACCCCATCAAAAAGTGGGTGAAGGATATGAACAGACACTTCTCAAAAGAAGACATTTATGCAGCCAAAAAACACATGAAAAAATGCTCATCATCACTGGCCATCAGACAAATGCAAATCAAAACCACAATGAGATACCATCTCACACCAGTTAGAATGGCAATCATTAAAAAGTCAGGAAACAATAGGTGCTGGAGAGGATGTGGAGAAATAGGAACACTTTTACACTGTTGGTGGGACACTAAACTAGTTCAACCATTATGGAAGTCGGTGTGGTGATTCCTCAGGGATCTAGAACTAGAAATACCATTTGACCTAGCCATCCCATTACTGGGTATATACCCAAAGGATTATAAATCATGCTGCTATAAAGACACATGCACATGTATGTTTATTGCAGCACTATTCACAATAGCAAAAGACTTGGAACCAACCCAAATGTCCAACAATGATAGACTGGATTAGGAAAATGTGGCACATATACACCATGGCATACTATGCAGCCATAAAAAATGACAAGTTCATGTCCTTTGTAGGGACATGGATGAAATTGGAAACCATCATTCTCAGCAAACTATTGCAAGGACAAAAAACCGAACACTGCCTGTTCTCACTCATAGGTGGAAATTGAACGATGAGAACACATGGACATAGGAAGGGGAACATCGCACTCCAGGGACTGTTGTGGGGTGAGGAGAGGGGGGAGGGATAGCATTAGGAGATAAACCTAATGCTAAATGATGAGTTAATGGGTGCAGCACACCAACATGGCACATGTATATATATTTAACAAACCTGCACATTGTGCACATGTACCCTAAAACTTAAAGTATAATAATAATAAAATAAAATAAAAAAGCTCATATATTACTATATTACACATTTTAAAATATTTTAATAACTATATTTCATATAGATTTCCTATTCTATTATTATAGCTTCCTTTATAATCCCATGTACATTATTTCATGCACAAAAACACAATTCTAGCAGAATACATACACAAGTGTACATGAAACATTCTCCTGGATAGACCATATGTCAGGCCGCCAAACAAGTTTTATTAAGGTTAAAAGGATTGCAACCATATAAAACATGGTTCTAGCTTCATGAAGCTAGAAATCAGTAACAAGGAAAATAGAAAAGTTCACAAATATGTAGAAATTAAACTACACACTCTGAAACAATCAATATGCTAGAAAAGAAACCACAAGGAGGATTAGAAGATATTTAGAGATAAAAGTAAACAAAAACATAGCATTAAAGAAACTTAGGGAATACAGTAAAAGCGGTGTTCAGAGGTAAATTTATAGCTCATAAATGCCTCTATTTCTATGCAAGGCTGGTTCAACATCACAAATCAATAATCTAACTTACCACCTTAAGGAACTAGAAAATGAAGAGCAGACTGAAGACAAAGCTAACAGGAAGAAAGTAATAATAAAAATTAGAGAATAGTGACAAGAAAAATAATGAAGAAAATAAATGAAACAAAAGTTGTTCCTTTAAAAAAATCAATGAAATTGATAAAGCTTTAGCTAGACTAAGAAAAAAAGAGGGAAGATGCAAATAACTAAATTCAGAAATGAAAGCTGGGGACATAACTACTGACCTTATAGGAATAAAAAGGATTATAATACTATAAGTAATTATATGCCAACAAATTCTATATACTAACCTATATGAATATAAATTCATGGAAATATACAAATTACTAAAACTGATTTGAGAATAAATAGAGAATCTGAAAACACCTATAACAACTAGATATTTAATCAGTAACCAACATCCTCATAAAGAAAAGTCCAGCACCAGATTTCACGTGAATTCCACCAAACATATAAAAAAGATTTAACATCAATCTTTCTCAAACTATTCCAAATTAACAGAATAAGAGGGAACATATTCTAACTCATTCTATGAGGCCACACCAATACCAAGGCCAGATAAAGACACCACAAGAAGAGAAGACTACAGGCCAATATCCTTTAAGAATAATAAACTAATTCAGCAAAGTTGCAGGGTACAAGAGCAAAACACAGTACAGTTGTGTTTTTTATGCCAGCAATAAATAATCCAAAAAAGGAAGTCTGAAAAATAATTCTATTTACAATAGTACCCAAAAGAATAAAATGCCTAGAAATGAATTTAACCAAGAAAATGAAAGACTTGTACACTGAAAATTGTAGGACATTGCTGAAGGAAATTTTAAAAGACCTAAATAAATGGAAAACTTCCCATGTTAATGATTTACTATTAATTCTGTTAAGATGGCAATACTAGCCAAAGCAGTTTAAAGATTCAATGCAATTCTATCAAAATTTCATCAGTCCTTTTCTCAGAAATAGAAAAGTTGATTCAGGCCAGGTGCGGTGGCTTACTCCTGCAATCCCAGCACTTTGAAAGGCCAAGGCGGGCAGATCACTTGAGGTCAGGAGTTTGAGACCACCCTGGCCAACATGGTGAAACCCCATTTAGACTAAAAATACAAAAGTTACCCAGGCATGGTGGTGCACGCCTGTAATCCCAGATACTTGGGAGGCTAAGGTAGGAGAATCACTTGAATCTGCGAGGTGGAGGTAACAGTGAGCAGAGAGATTGCCCCACTGTACTCCATGCTTGGGCCACAAAGTGAGTGAGACTCTGTCTCAAAAAAAAAAAAAAAAAAGTTGATTCTAAAATTCATATGGAACTGCAAGCTAAACAATCTTGAAACTGGTCAAACAGCCAAAATGATCTTGAAAAAGAACAAAATTGGAGGACCTGTACTTGTGATTTCAAAACATAAAGTTATGGCAATCCAAACAGCGTGGTACTGGCATAAGGATAAACATACAGACCAGTGAAACAGAACTAAGAGTTCAGAAATAAACCCATACTTCTATTACTAATACATTTTCAACAAGGGCGCTAAGACCATTTGATGGGGGAAAAGATTAATCTTCCCAACAAATGGTGCTGGTAAAACTGTATATCCACGTTCAAGGGAATGAAGTTGTGCCTCTACGCCATCTGCACAAATTAACGCAAGATGGGTCAATGAGCAAAGCAAGGGGCAAAAAGCATAAAACTCTTAGAAAAAAATATAGGGTTAAATCTGGGTTTTGGCAATACATTCTTAGATAGGACACCAAAAGCATAAGCAATGAAAAAAAAATAAGCTGAACTTCATCAAATTTAAAAAGTCTTGTGTGTCAATGGACATTATTAAGAAGGTGAAAAGACAACCTACAGGATGCGTGAAAATATTTGCAAATCATATATCTAACAAGGGTTTATTCTCTAGAATATAAAGATACTTACAACTCAATAACAAAAAGACAATGCAATTAAAAAATGAACTAAGGGCTTGAGTAGACATTTCTCCAAAGAAAATATACGATTGACAACAAGCACATGAAAATATGCATAATATTATTAGTCACTAGAGAAATGCAAATCAAAACCACAATGACATACCACCTTACACCAACAAGTGTGGCTATCAAAAAATATTATCTATGTGTATGTGTGTGTGTGTGTGTGTGTGTGTGTGTGTATATATATATATAAAGTAATGGCAAAGATGTCAAGACATTGAAACCCTCATATGTTACTGATGGGAATGTAAAATTGGTCTGTGGAAAACAGTTTGGTGAATCCCAAAAAGTTTAACACAGAATTTCCACATGACCTAGCAATTCCACTACTGAGTATATACTTAAAAATAATTGAAAAGTGGTATTCAAACAATTACATGTAAACACTTGTTTACAACAGGACTATCTGCAATAGCAAAAATGTAGAAACAACCCAAATGTTAAACAAATTGTGGTATATACACAGAAGGAAATGTTATTCACTCCATAAAAAGGAATGAAGTACTGATATATGCTCTCACTTGGATGAACCTTGAAAACCTTATGCTAAGTAATGGAAGCCAGACACAAAAGAGCACACGTTGTATAACATCATTTGTATGAAATATCCAGAATGACAGAAAGCAGGTTACTGGGTGCCAGCGAGTAGTGGAAGAGGATAGTGAAGAACAATTGCATTTATTTATTTATGTATTGATAGTATGATTTTACCTTTAATCTCTGTGCACCATTACTTAGAGAAAAAGAAAACTTCAATTTAGAAATAAAATAATCATCTACATCAAATGAGAAAAACTAAAACACAATAAAACACAGCATAGGAAAACTTGTTGATGATGTCTAAAAGTTTTGTAGTTTACCATCAACCCTATCTAGTTAGAAAGCATCCTACTCTCTGAGTATTCTTCTTCTTTTTTTTTTTTATTTAAGTTCTGAGACACACGTGCAGAAAGTGCAGGTTACATAGGTATACATGTGCCATGGCGGTTTACTGCACCCATCAACCCGTCATCTAGGTTTTAAGCCCCACATGCATTAGGTATTTGTCCTAATGCTATCCCTCCCCTTGCCCCCCATCCCCCGACAGGCCCCAATGTGTGTTGTTCCCCTCCATGTGTCCATGTGTTCTCCTTGTTCAACTCCCACTTACCAGTGAGAACATGTGATGTTTGGTTTTCTGTTCCTGTGTTAGTTTGCTGAGGATGACGGTTTCCAGCTTCATCCATGTCCCTGCAAAGGACATGAACTCATCCTTTTCTATGGCTGCATAGTATTCCTTGGTGTATATGTGCCACATTTTCTTTACCCAGTCTATCATTGATGGGCATTTGGGTTGGTTCCAAGTCTTTGCTATTGTAAATAGTGCTATAATAAACATGTGTGCATGTGTCTTTATAGTAGAATGATTTACAATCCTTTGGGTATTCACCCAGTAATGGGATTGCTGGGTCAAATGGTATTTCTGTTTCTAGATCCTTGAGGAATTACCACACTGTCTTCCACAATGGTTGGAACAATTGCTTTTAAACTAGCTTTTCACCCTCTACTCTTTTGGTCCTTGGTATTCTCCAGGGTTCTGTCCATGGGCGTCTTCTGCATATAATACTGACTGGCTGACGATTCTGAGCTTACTAACTGTAGGAGCATCAGTTACTGTATAATTCTAGACAAGTGATATAACATTTTTTCTACTCATGTTTTTCTTTACATTGGAATATAAAGAGAAAGATAATATCTACTTCAAAATCTATAATTGCTGGATCTATTTCTAACTGCTTAATAGACACTTCCGTCATGATAGTCTAAAGGCAGTTCAAATTAACCATTTCTTCCTAAATCTCTTCTTCTGTCTGACTTTCTATATCAGTAAATGGAAATTTTATCTATTCACTATTTTGTCCAAGCAATTTTATCTAAACACTCATT
The DNA here is from genome assembly GCF_000001405.40 of Homo sapiens. Lineage (NCBI taxonomy): Eukaryota > Metazoa > Chordata > Mammalia > Primates > Hominidae > Homo > Homo sapiens. Next base: position 114,286,752 of record NC_000005.10, on the reverse strand, counting down.
TTTCTCTCTGTACTAGAAACTCATTGTCATCTTTATTTCACTCTTTTCATTCATCCCTTCATAGAAAATTGTTCTCCTAGTCTTGTTAGTCAACTAAAATCTCAGAAACAACTCCCCTCTTCTCCCTTCTCTTTGCCACTGCTGTGGTTTAGGCCTTTATGATATACATAAAATGTGGAACTATAAGGTTAACTGTTCTTGCACTGGTCCCAGCCTACACTAAAACATTAGTTTTCCTCAGATTTTCATACTTGCCCCTCTTTTTTTTAACATTCTTCTTAACTTCTCTGGATGATCGAATTATTTTTCTTGGTTTCAACTTCTACTTTTTCTTTGATGACTCGTAAATGAACATATTTATTCTTGAAATTCAGATTTCAAAAGCTTCAGACTAACATGTTGAGCATCCTTTCAAACATCTCTAACTGCTTCTCTGATACCAAGGGCATGTTCAAAACTAAACCCATCACCTTCTTCTCTAATCCTGCCCTTCCCATATAATTTTTAGCTGCATTGGTGGCTCCTGATCTACCCTGTCATTCAAACTTAAATCCAGCCAGTGGAGGTGGCTTCTCCTTCCTGAAGCTAAATTAGGAAGGAGACTAGGACGTTTTTATTTTATACTTTTGTATGTGGAGAAACCCTGTCTCTACTAAAAATACAAAATTAGCCAGGCATGGTGGCACATGCCTGTAATCCCAGCTACTCAGGAGGCTGAGACAGGATAATCGCTTGAACCCAGGACGAGGAGGTTGCTGTGAGTCGAGATCATGCCATTGCACTCCAGCCTGGGCAACAAGGGTGAAACTCCGTCAGAGAAAAAAAAAAAAAAAAAGCTTCCCAAATTGTAGGTGCCTCAGAACCTTAAAAATCTGGATCCATTTCTGTCTGCAGCTAATTCTTTATATCTCTCTTTATCTGCAATTTCACCTCAAGGAGAATATTGAGTTATTTTACATACACAAGAATTTTTAGATCCATTTCAGCATTTTCCATCTTCAACTCTACAGTAGCAGTTTAAAGCATCATCATCTGTTACCTGGAGGACTGAAACAGCTTCCTACTGATCTGCCCACACTCAATGTATATTCACATCAAATTAATTATTCATATAATCTGCAATTATTGAATAAAAATAAAATTTTAAAAGCTCTACAAATACCACCTTGCGAATTTGCTACTTAATTCTGATCTATAATTTTAGGAGACAATCCAGGTTCCTTGGTATGGCACTTAAGGATTTCCAAGAAATGGCTTGATTTACTTATCCTTATTTCCCATTTCTGCCATTCTTCCTCATTTATCACAGTCTTGATTTTATGTTCTAACATTATTAAACCACTTGCACACACCCTCACAGACTGCACTCATTCTTTCCTCCATGTGTTTCTTCATATTTTTCTCCCCTACTTGGAATTACCGATATATTTTTGCCAACTGTCTCTCTTTTTTTTTTTTTTTTTTTTTTTGGAGATGGAGTCTCGCTGTGTCACCAGGCTGGAGTGCAGTGGCATGATCTCAGCTCACTGCAAGCTCTGTCTCCTGGGTTCACACCATTTTCCTGCCTCAGCCTCCCCAGTAGCTGGGACTACAGGCACCCGCCACCACACCCGGCTAATTTTTTTACATTTTTTAGTAGAGACGGGGTTTCACTGTGTTAGCCAAGATGGTCTCGATCTCCTGACCTCGTGATCCGCCCGCCTCAGCCTCCCAAAGTCCTGGGATTACAGGCATGAGCCACCGCGCCCAGCCTGCCAACTTACTCTGCCCAAGGTACCATAACAAAATCCTACAGACTGGGTAGCTTAAACAACAGAAATTTATTTTTTTCACAGCTCTAGAGGCTGGAAAGTTTGTCTGTTTTCATCTGGTACACACAGGAAGATTTCACCCGTACAGTGGTGAAGGTCAACAAGATCAGAAATGGAGATGATCGGCTAGGCGCGGTGGCTGACGCCTGTAATCCTAGCACTTTGGGAGGCTAAGGCGGGTGGATCACCAGGTCAGGAGATCAAGACCATCCTGGCCAACATGGTGAAACCCCGTCTCTACTAAAAAAGGACAAAAATTAGCTGGGTATGGTGGCGCATTCCTTTAATTCCAGCTACTGGGGAGGCTGAGGCAGGAGAATCACTTGAACCACGGAGTCAAAGATTGCAGTGAGCCAAGACTGTGCCACTGCACTCCAGCCTGGCAACAGAGCAAGACTCCATCTCAAAAACAAAAAAAGAAAAAATGGAGATGATCTTTTACCTGTACTCAACTATCTGGATTAGTTTGTTATGTGAGTAGCCAATGAAAAATTACAGACATAAGATGAAAACTCACAATTTAGAAAGAGAATAGCAAGTTGCATAACCAAAGAAACAGCTCCTACTAAAACAGAAATTTTTTAAAAATCCAATTATTATTCACACAAACATGCATATTCATACACACAGGCTTTCACTCTGATAATGGCATACTAGGTGATTTGCACTAACCCTTTTGCTGAAGATGACTAAAAAACTCGATTAAAAGTCAGAAAAGATTTACTTAACATCCAAGACCTAAGATATTAGGGAATTTCTTGCTAAGAGAATAGAACAAAAAGAGATGAACTAGAGCCCTCCTGTTCAGGGAATAATTGCCTTTGTAGAAAAAGCACCTGAGAGGGGTGGAGTTCTTTAAAGTGAAAAGGTGTGAGGTTCAAGGTCCTGAAGTCACCAGAAACAGAGAACCTGAAGAATATCCCCTCTTCCTGGATGTCATTCTTACTCTGGCCAAAGTGCCTATTCTTGTGGAAATGGCTTGAAGGCAAGCTGACCTCTTGGGTAAATTTCAGGAGCTGGAAGGACAAGTCAGAATGTAATGCGTGACAAAGGTAAAAACCTAAGGTAATGTATACTCTAATGTGGTAGGGACGCTCAGGAGTTGTACTCTTAAACTGAGGTATTTTGGCAGATCATCTAGGTAGCTCAGAAAGTCCTCAAGCCTTAATTTGAGACTGCTTTCACTCCCAGGTACCTGGAATACAAAAAATAAAATTTCTTTTTCAAATGATCTAACCTGTCATTCAAGCTTCTTCCAAATATCTGGAAGAAGGTATATTCCAAGTCCCAAATTATTTCCTACAAATAATTTCTCAAAATGTTTAGGCAACAACGAAAGACTATAAGGACAATAAGAGACATACAAAGATGACAATAGTCAAAATCAGTACCAACAATTGTCAATAGAAACAGAAACACAGAAAATCTATATTTGCAAACCATCAAATGTAGAAACTACTGCAGTTATAGTTATTACAACCAATGAAATATAAGCTGAATTTAAGATTATAGCAAATGTGGAAAAAGTAAAATGTGATACTGAAGATTCAAAAACTAATGAACTAGAAATAATAGAACTGAAAAATAGAATAATAAAAATTTAACACTCAATAGATGGGTTTAACACCGGTCAAGAGAAAATTAATAAACTAGATGATTTATCAGAAGAACCCATGTGGAATGAAGCATGATGAAACAAAAATATGGGACACACATGGGAGAGGATAACAGACATCAAAAGACACAGCCCAATGTACATTAAATTTGAGTTTCAGAAGGAAAGGAAAGGAAAGAAAAATGAGGCAGAAGCAATGTTTAAGAGAACTGATATTTGAACTCAGATTGATGAAAGAAACCAGTACCTATTCAACAGTTCTAAAAAAGCACTTGCAGAATGAATAAAAACAAATTCACATGATAGTGGAGCTGCAGAAAAGAAAAGACAATAACAAAATCTTAAATGCAGCAGAGGAGCAGATTAAATTCATAGGAGTAGCACAGACTATAACTGATACCTTGACAGTGATTTTGGAAGCCAGAGCAAGTATAAACATTTATTTAAGAAAGTACAGTTAGAAATGGAATTGAATTCATTAATTGAATGCAATAAAACCTTTCCCACAAAGAAAACTATGACTTCATACAGCTTCTCCAGAAGGTTCTATCAAAGATATTTTTAAAAATCCAATGTTACACAAAGCCTTCTAGAGAACAGGAAAAAGAAGACAGAGCTCTCTCTGATCTTTCCTTATTTTATGATACCAACATAACCTTGTTACCAAAAACCAACAAAAGCAGTATAAAAAGGACACAAATGTAGGCCAGCCTCAATCATGATCACAGATGCACATAAATCTCACGAAGTTGATGCAACAGCCATAAATCTTTACATTTTAGTTCACATTGCATAAAAATATATAAGTAAAAAATTGTTATAAATAAAAGACAATAAATATGATTGTATTACTAATTTAAAGTAATAGCAAAAACTTAAAAAGACATTCATAATGTCTAGCTTGATTATAAATAGAAATAAAATGTGATCTTTAAGTTCTCTGCAACATCTATAAAATCAATATTTACAAAATAGGTCATGTTCCATCACATGGAAATTTCAATACATTCTAAAACATAGATGCCTAGATTCCTTTGTTTTTTGCTATAATTCAACCAAAGTAAAAATGAATTCCCCATACAAAGGAATGATTAGATTATGTGAAACGAGAAAGAAAGAAATTAGAAACAAATCTATCCCCAAAAGAAATAAATAGTTGAATTAATAAATAAAAAATGAAACCTAGTGATAGAGACTGATACAGTACTAAAACTCTGGTAAGTCTGCCAAAGGGCCAAAATATGGATATATACAAGAAGACACAAATACATAAATATTAGTCATGAGAATGGCATCACAAAAGCATTTACATACAAGTGTTTTAAAATGAGAATGAAAATTATATAAAAACTATAGCACCCTAACTAGATAATCCAAAGTAATGGGTGACTTTCCAGAAAAATATTTAAATTTAAGTATTTACAAAGAAATATGAAATATTAATAGACCCTAGAAAAAAAACACAGAAAATTATCAGAATTACAACCTTGACCATAGACACCAGATCCAGTTACTTTAAATTTGACTCAAGCCTTCAAGGACATAATTTATTATCTTATTTTAAAATTTTACCTGCTTCAGGTCATAGTATATGCTTAAAAATTATTTAATCTTAAAGCTAGAAGTACCTTTGCTGCAAAATCTGACTAGGATATCATACACACAAATGCACACATAAACACACACACACACACACACACAGAGATGGAGGGGCGGGGAGAGAGAGAGAGAGAGACAGAGATTGACAAGAGAGAAAGGAGAAAATGGAAGCAGTTCCTACCAAGCCTAGGTTCAACAGTTAAACAGAACCATAACAAGATTCTACAAGGTCTTAATATAAATGTCTTGGAAAAAAGTTTGCCACACTCAAATAATCATGTGAAACACAAAGGCCTTCAACAAAATTTAATATAATTGCCAGATTTCTCAGTCTTTAAAATGCCAATTTAAGTGTAACTTTCCATGAGGGACATTTGGCAAGTACTATAGCCATTTATTTATTCATCCTAAAAATAGTATATATTGAATATCCCATGTTTTAGATGCTGACATATTCATCAGGGATAAAGAAACCTGCAAAATACAAACAAACACTCAAAGAGCTCACATTTTAATGGCAGAAACACACAGCAAACAAATAAATGCATTATACAATATAATGTTAAGCATATTTCCTTGTTAGGAAGGCAAAACCTGAGTAGAAGGACAAAGAGCAATGGATGAGGTACACAAGTGGTCAGAAAATACTTCTCTAAGGAGGTATTTGAGCACTGACCTGAATGAAATAAGGAAGGAGGCATAGGACTATATGGGGTGTAGGGTATTCTCTAAAGAGGAAAATATCAAATATAACGGCAAAAGAAGGGTTAGTGTGCTCAAGGAAAAAGAAAAAGGTCAGGTTGGCAAGAATGAGAACAGAACAAGGACAGGCAAGAGTTTTAGGAAACAAGGCTGGAGAGTCAGATCATACAGAACCTCACAGAATTTAGATTTTATTTTAAAAGTGATTATAACCCCCTGGAAAGCTTGAACCATGGAATTAATAAGATCTGACTTAACATTTAAAAGGGTCACTCTGAGTGTTTAGGGGCAACAGATTGTATAGAAGAAAGGGTAAATGTAGATAGACCATTACCAGGCTACTGCAGTGTCAGGTAAGAAATTACGGTGACTTAATGGAACAGAATAGAGCCCTCAGAAATGATACCACACATCTACAACTATCTGATCTTTGACAAACCAGACAAAAACAAGAAATGGGGAAAGAATTACCTATTTAATTAATGGTGATGGGAAAACTGGCTAGCCATATGTAGAAAGCTGAAACTGGATCCCTTCCTTACACCTTATACAAAAATTAATTCAAGATGGATTAAAGACTTAAATATTAGACCTAAAACCATAAAAATCCTAGAAGAAAACCTAGGCAATACCATTCAGGCCATAGGCATGGGCAAGGACTTCTTGACTAAAACACCAAATGCAATGGCAACAAAAGCCAAAATTGACAAATGGGGTCTAATTAAGCTAAAGAGCTTCTGCACAGCAAAAGGAACTACTATCAGAGTGAACAGGCAACCTACAGAATAGGAGAAAATTTTTACAATCTACCCATCTGACAAAGGGCTAATATCCAGAATCTACAATGAACTCAAACAAATTTACAAGAATAATTCAAACACCCCCATCAAAAAGTGGGCAAAGGATATGAACAGACACTTCTCAAAAGAAGACATTTATGCAGCCAAAAGACACATGAAAAAATGCTCATCATCACTGGCCATCAGAGAAATGCAAATCAAAACCACAGTGAGATACCATCTTACACCAGTTAGAATGGTGATCATTAAAAAGTCAGGAAACAACAGGTGCTGGAGAGGATGTGGAGAAATAGGAACACTTTTACACTGTTGGTGGGACTGTAAACTAGTTCAACTATTGTGGAAGACAGTATGGCAATTCCTCGAGGATCTAGAACTAGAAATACCATTTGGCCCAGCCATCCCATTACTGGGTATATACCCAAAGGATTATAAATCATGCTGCTATAAAGACACACGCACACATATGTTTATTGCGGCACTATTCACAATAGCAAAGACTTGGAACCAACCCACATGTCCATCAATGATAGACTGGATTAAGAAAATGTGGCACATATATACGATGCAATACTATGCAGCCATAAAAAGGATGAGTTCATGTCCTTTGCAGGGACATGGATGAAGCTAGAAACCATCATTCTGAGCAAACTATCGCAAGGACAGAAAACCAAACACCACATGTTCTCACTCATAGGTGGGAACTGAACAATAAGAACACTTGGAAACACGGTGGGGAACACCACACACTGGGGCCTGTTGTGGGGTGGGGGGAGCAGGGAGGGATAGCATTAGGAGATATACCTAATGTAAATCACGAGTTAACAGATGCAACACACCAAAATGCACATGTATACATATGTAACAAACCTGCACACTGTGCACATGTACCCTAAAACTTAAAGTATAATAAAAAAAAAAGAAATTACAGTGACTTGATTAAGGAGTAGTGATAAAGACATTGCAAAGTAACTGGAGCCAGCATATATTTTGAAGGTATTTCTAATTGGGTTTGCTGATAGACTGAATGTGAATTATAAAGAGAAAGAGAAGAAAGGATGACTCTAAGGTATTAGCAAACAAATGGCAAGGGCATTATTATTACAGTCACTAAGAAAATTATAAACTAATTATAAAATTAATAATTTATAATTATTCCACATTATAATGAAAGTTTGGGCCAATGCAATAAAACAAAAAAAAATGAGAACTAGGGGGTTGCTTCCAAGAAGGCCAAACAGGAACAGCTCCGATCTGCAGCTCCCAGGGAGATTGATGCAGAAGATCGGTGATTTCTGCATTTCCAACTGAGTTACCTGGTTCATCTCATTGAGTCTGGTTGGACAGTGGGTGTAGCCCACAGAGGGTGAGCTGAAGTAGGGCGGGGCATTGCCTCACCCGGGAAGCACAAGGGATCAGAGGATTTCCCTTTCCTAGTCAAAGGAAGCTGTGAGTGACTGTACCTGGAGGAGCGGTACACTCCTGCCCAAATACTGCACTTTCCCCATGGTCTTCGCAACCGGCAGACCAGGAGATTCCCTCCTGTGCCTGGCTTGGCAGGTCCCATGCCCACAGAGCCTTGCTCACTGCTAGTGCAGAAGTCTGAGATGGACCTGGGATGCTGGAGCAAGGTGGGGAAGGGGCGTCTGCCATTGCTGAGGCTTAAGTAGGTGGTTCTATGTTCACAATGTAAACAAAGCAGCAGGGAAGCTTGAACTGGGCGGAGCCCACTGCAGCTCAGCAAGGCGTATTGCCTCTCTATTTTCAACCTCTGGCGGCAGGGCATATCTGAACAAAAGACAGCAGACAGCTTCTCCAGACTTAAATGTCCCTGCCTGTCAGCTCTGAAGAGAGCAGTGGTTCTCCCAGCATGGCATTCGAGCTCTGATAATGGACAGACTGCTTCCTCAAGTGGGTCCCTGACCCCCATGTAGCCTGACTGGGAGACACCTACCAGTAGGGGCCAACAGATACCTCATACAGGCAGGTGTCCCTCTGGGATGAAGCTTCTAGAGGAAGGATCAGGCAGCAATATTTGCTGTTCTGCAGCCTCCACTGGTGATACCCAGGAAAACAGGGTCTGGAGTGGACCTGCAGCAAACTCCAACAGACATGCAGCTGAGGGGACAGTCTGTCCTAACAAACAGAAACCTAACAAACAGAAAGTAATATCATCAACATCAACAAAAAGGACATCCACACCAAAAGCCCATCCATAGGTCACCAACACCAAAGACCAAAGGTAGATAAAACTACAAAGATGGGAAGAAACCAGAGCAAAAAGGCTGAAAATTCCAAAAACCAGAATGCCTTTTCTCCTCCAAAGGAAAACGACTCCTCGACAGCAAGGGAACAAAACTGGATGGAGAATGAGTTTGACATGTTGACAGAATTGGACTTCAGAAGGTCGGTAATAACAAACTTCTCCAAGCTAAAGGAGCATGTTCTAACCCATCACAAGGCAGCTAAAAACCTTGAAAAAAGGTTAGACAAATGGCTAACTAGAATAAACAGTGTAGAGAAGACCTTAAATTACCTGATGGAGCTGAAAACCACAGTACGAGAACTTTGTGAAGCATGCACAAGCTTCAGTAGCTGATTTGATCAAGCAAAAGAAAGGATATCAGTGATTGAAAATCAAATTAATGAAATAAAGCAAGAAGACAAGATTAGAGACAACACAGTGAAAACAAATAACAAAGCCTCCAGGAAATATGGGACTATGTGAAAAGACCAAATCTATGTTTGATTGGTGTACCTAAAAGTGACGGGGAGAATGGACCCAACTTAGAAAACGCTCTTCAGGATATTATCCAAGAGAACTTCCCCAACCTAGCAAGGCAGGCCAACATCCAAATTCAGGAAACACAGAGAACACCACAAAGATAATTCTCAAGAAGAGAAACCCCAAGACACATAATTGTCAGATTCACCAAGGTTGAAATGAAGGAAAAAATGTTAAGGGCAGTCAGAGAGAAAGGCTGGGTTACCCACAAAGGAAAGCCCATCAGACTAACAGCTGATCTCTCTGCAGAAACCCTACAAGCCAGAAGAGATTGGGGGCAAATATTCAACAATCTCATAGAAAAGAATTTTCAACCCAGAATTTCATATCCAGCCAAAATAAGCTTCATAAGTGAAGAAGATATAAAATCCCTTACAGACAAGAAAATGCTGAGAGATTTTGTCACCACCAGGCCTGCCCTACAAGAGCTCCTGAAGGAAGCACTAAACATGGAAAGGAACAACCGGTAGCCACTGCAAAAACATGCCAAACTGTAAAGACCATCGACACTATGAAGAAACTGTTTGCATCAATTAATCGGTGAAATAACCAGCTAGCACCATAATGACAGGATCAAATTCACATATAACAATATTAAACTTAAATGTAAATGGACTAAATGTCCCAATCAAAAGACACTGACAAGCAAATTGGATAAAGAGTCAAGACCCATCAGTGTGCTGTATTCAGGAGACCCATCTCATGTGCAAGACACACATAGGCTCAAAATAAAGGGATGGAGGAAGATCTACCAAGCAAATGGAAAGCAAAAAAAAAAAAAATGCAGGGGTTGCAATACTGGTCTCTGATAAAACAGACTTTAAACCAACAAAGATCGAAAGAGACAAAGAGGGTCATTACATAATGGTAAAGGGATCAATTCAACAAAAAGAGCTAACTATCCTAAATATATATGCACCCAATACAGGAGCACCCAGATTCATAAAGCAAATTCTTAGAGACCTAAAAAGAGACCCAGACTCCCAAACAATAATAATGGGAGACTTTAACACCCCACTGTCAATATTAGACACACCAATGGGACAGAAACTTAACAAGGATATCCAATACTTGAACTCAGCTCTGGACCAAGCAGACCTAATAGACATATACAGAACTCTCCACCCCAAATCAACAGAATATACATTCTTCTCAGCACCACATCGCACTTATTCTAAAATTGACCACATATTTGGAAGTAAAACACACCTCAGCAAATGTAAAAGAACAGAAATCACAATAAACTGTCTCTCAGACCACTGTGCAATCAAACTAGAACTCAGAATTAAGAAACTCACTCAAAACTGCACAACTACATGGAAACTGAACAACCTGCTCCTGAGTGACTACTGGATACATAACGAAATGAAGGCAGAAATAAAGATGTTCTTTGAAACCAATGAGAACAAAGACACAATGTACCAGAATCTCTGGGACACATTTAAAGCATTATGTAGAGGAAAATTTATAGCACTAAATGCCCACAAGAGAAAGCAGGAGAGATCAAAAATCGACACCCTAACCTCACAATTAAAAGACCTAGAGAAGCAAGAGCAAACAAATTCAAAAGCTAGCAGAAGACAGGAAAAGAATGAGATCAGAGCAGAACTGAAAGAGATAGAGACACAAAAAACCCTTCAAAAAATCAATGAATCCAGGAGCTGGTTTTTTGAAAAGATCAACAAAATAGATCGCTAGGAAGACTAATAAAGAAGAAAAAGAGAAGACTCAAATAAATGCAATAAAAAATAATAAAGGGGATATCACCACCGATCCCACAAAAATACAAACTACCATCAGAGAATACTATAAGTACCTCTACGCAAATAAACTAGAAAATCTGGAAGAAATGGATAAATTCCTGGACACATACACCCCCCAAGACTAAACCAGGAAGAAGTTGAATCTCTGAATAGACAAATAACAGGTTCTGAAATTGAGGCAATAATTAATAGCCTACCAACCAAAAAGAGTCCAGGACCAGACAGATTCACAGCCGAATTCTACCAGAGGTACAAAGAGGAATGGACACCATTCCTTCTGAAACTATTCCAATCAATAGAAAAAGAGGGAATCCTCCCTAATTCATTTCATGAGGCTAGCATCATCCTGACACCAAAGCCTGGCAGAGACACAACAAAAAAAGAGAATTTTAGGCCAATATCCCTGATGAACATCGACGTAAAAATCCTCAATAAAATACGGGCAAACTGGATCCAGCAGCACATCAAAAAGCTTATCCACCACGATCAAGTCAGCTTCATCCCTGGGATGCAAGGCTGGTTCAACATATGCAAATTAATAAATGTAATCCATCACATAAACAGATCGAATGACAAAAACCACATAATTATCTCAATAGATGGAGATAAGGCCTTTGACAAAATTCAACAGCCTTTCATGCTAAAAACTCACAATAAACTAGGTATCAGTGGAACACATCTCAAAATAATAAGAGCTATTTATGACAAACCAACAGCCAATATCACTGAATTGGCAAAAACTGGAAGCATTCCCTTTGAAAACCGGCATATGACAAGGATGCCCTCTCTCACCACTCCTATTCAACATAGTGTTGGAAGTTCTGGCCAGGGCAATCAGGCAAGAGAAAGCAATAAAGGGTATTCAAATAGGAAGAGAGGAAGTCAAATTGTCTCTGTTTGCAGATGACATGATAGTATATTTAGAAAACTCCATCGTCTCATCCCAAAATCTCCTTAATCTGATACGCAAAGTCAGCAAAGTCTCAGGATACAAAATCAATGTGCAAAAATCACAAGCACTCCTATATACCAATAACAGACAAACAGAGAGCCAAATCAGGAGTGAACTCCCATTCACAATTGCTACGAAGAGAATAAAATACCTAGGAATACAACTTAAAGGGATGTGAAGGACCTCTTCAAAGAGAACTACAAACCACTGCCCAACAAAATAAAGGAGGACACAAACAAATCGAAAAACATTCCATGCTCATGGATAGGAAAAATCAATATCATGAAAATGGCCTTACTGCCCAAAGTAATTTATAGATTCAATGCTATCCCCATCAAGCTACCACTGACTTTACTCACAAAATTGGAAAAAACTACTTTAAACTTCATATGAAGCCAGAAAGAGTCCACATAGCCAACACAATCCTGGGCAAGAAGAACAAAGCTGGAGGCATCATGCTACCTGACTTCAAACTATACAAGGCTACAGTAACCAAAACAGCATGGTACTGGTACCAAAACAGATATATAGACCAATGGAACAGAACGCAGGCCTTCAAAATAATAGCACACATCTACCACCATCTGATCTTTGACAAACCTAACACACACAAGCAATGGGGGAATGATTCCCTATTTAATAAATGGTGTTGAGAAAACTGGCTAGCCATATGCAGAAAACTGAAACTGGACCCCTTCCTTACACCTTATACAAAAATTAACTCAAGATGGATTAAAGACTTAAACATAAGTTCTAAAATCCTGGAAGAAAACCTGGGCAATACCATTCAGGACATAGGCATGGGCAAAGACTTCATGTCTAAAACACCAAAAGCAATGGCAACAAAAGCCAAAATTGACAAATGGGATCTAATTAATCTAAAGAGCTTCTGCACAGCAAAATAAACTATCACCAGAGTGAACAGGCAACCTACAGAATGGGAGAAAATTTTTGCAATCTATCCATCTGACAAAGGACTAATATCCAGAATCTACAAAGAACTAAAACAAATTTACAAGAAAAAAACAACCCCATCCAAAAATGGGCAAAGGATATGAACAGACACTTCTCAAAAGAAAACATCTGTGCAGCCAACAGACATGAAAAAATGCTCATCATCACTGGTCATTAGAGAAATGCACATCAAAACCTCAGTGAGGTACCATCTCATGCCAGTTAGAATGGCAATCATTAAAAAGTCAGGAAACAATAGATGCTGGAGAGGATATGGAAAAATAGGAACGTGGTAGGAGTGTAAATTAGTTCAACCATTGTGGTAGAGAGTGCAGCAATTCCTCAAGGATTTAGAACTAGAATTACCATTTGACCCAGTAATCCCATTACTGGGCATATACCCAAAGATTCTACAATAAAGACACATGCACACGTATGTTTATTGCAGCATTAGTCACGATAGCAAAGACTTGGAACCAACCCAAATGTCCATCAATGATAGACTGGATTAAGGAAATGTGGCACATATATACCATGGAATACTATGCAGCCATAAAAAAGGATGAGTTCACGTCCTTTGCAGGGACATGGATGAAGCTGGAAATCATGTGTCTCAGCAAACTATCACAAGATCAGAAAACCAAACACCATGTGTTCTCACTCATAAGTGGGAGTTGAACAATGAGAATACATGGACACAGGGAGGGGAACATCACATACCAGGGCCTGTGGGGGGTGTTGGGCTAGGGGAGAGATATCATGAGGAGAAATGCCTAATGTAGGTGACAGGTTTTTGGGTGCAGCAAACACTCATGGCACGTGTATACCTATGTAACGAAACTGCACATTCTGTACATGTAACACAGAACTTAAAGTATAATTTAAAAAAAAGAACAAATGACAACTATAAATGTTGGAAAGAATGAGACAAGTTTTTGCAGTTGATATGATGCCTAACTAGAAAATCTAAATAATAAACTAAATACAACTTTAAAAACTAGTTGGAATATTCAGTAAGGGAACTGGGTATAAGGCAAAAAAGCCAACATTAACAGCTTTCCTTTATATCAGCAATACAATTAAAAATATATATGAATAAGCCATAGAGAAAAAATCTACAAAGTTTTATGAAGTAAATATTTACTTATTGACAACAAAAGGTCTCTAGAATTTATCAAATGAAAAAAGCTGGAGTTTATAGAGCATTTAGTATTAGCCCTTTCAAAATTACCTATACAAATTGTGTGAGTTTGTGTGTGTACATACATATGTATGTGTATATGATATGTACATACATATGTGTGTATGATATGTACATACATATGTGTGTATATGATATGTACGTACATATGTGTGTAGATATGTACATACATATATGTGTGTATATATGTACATACATATGTGTGTGTATATGGTATGTACATACATATATGTGTGTATATGTACATACATATATGTGTGTGTGTGATATGTACATACATATATGTGTGTGTGATATGTACATACATATATGTGTGTATATGATATGTACACACATATATACACACATAGATAAGTGTATATGTAGTTGCAGCTATAGCAAAACTCTTAACACTAAACCATTGGTGGCAGATAGAGAATGAGAGGATGCTACTCTTTGAGGGAAGGTATTGTGTTTTTCCACTTTCTATAGTGTTGTTTATCATAAGCATTATAAAACTTATGATCAGAAAAAAAGAAAATTATTTTTATTCAAAAGCACAACCAAAATTCCCAGTAATAGCTGATATAACAGCTAATCTTTATTAAATGCCAGATACTGCACTAAGAGCTTTACAGGTATTAATTCATGTACTCCTCATTAGCACAATAGTTCCTCCCTAGGACCTTAGTATGATAACCATCCATATTTTATAGGTGATAAAGTTGAGACAAAGAGGAAATGCAACCTGTCCAATTTCACACAGAATGAAAATGGTTTGGAATTGACACAGCCAGATTCAGAAGCCCAAGCTTCTAACCACTATGTTGGACTGACTATAAAATTTTAAAAAATGTTATATACCATATAAACACTACAAAAGTAGTCCATACAGAGTAGGGGGAGGAAGAATATAGTGAGTAAAAGGAAGAACCTGTTGAAATGAAAAGAAGAAAGCATAAACAAACATGACAGATGACTGAAAACTTAAATTTCCTGCTATCCTATTACAGGTTAAACTTCCCTGTGGAGTGAAATCACTCTCATTATTTATACACCTTGAGGATAGTATTGTATTTTTTACTTTCTTCTTTGTGCTTTTCTGTGTTTTTCAAGTTTTTACACTATTTATTTAGTAGTAATGAGAGGTGAAGCTGGCCGGCTTCTGGGTCGGGTGGGAACTTGGAGAACTTTTCTGTCTAGCTAAATGATTGTAAATGCACAAGTCAGCACTGTATCTAGCTAAAAGTTTGTAAACACACCAATCAGCACTCTGTAAAAATGCACCAATCAGCACTCTGTGTCTAGCTAATCGGGTGGGGACCTGGAGAACTTTTCTGACTAGGTAAAGGACTGTAAATGCACCAATCAGTGCTCTGTGTCTAGCTAAAGGTTTGTAAACGCACGAATCAGCACTCTGTAAAAGCAGACCAATCAGCACTCTGTAAAACGGACCAATCAGCAGGATATGGGCAGGGCCAAATAAGGGAATAAAAGCTGGCCACCTGAGCCAGCAGCAGCAACCCACTCGGGTCACCTTCCACGCTGTGGAAGCTTTGTTCTTTCACTCTTCACAATAAATCTTGCTGCTGCTCACTCTTTATGGGCTGCTCACTCATAAAGGGTCCGCACTACCTTTATGAGCTGTAACACTCACCACAAAGGTCTGCAGCTTCACTCCTGAAGTCAGTGAGACCACGAACCCACCCGAAGGAAGAAACTGTGGACACATCTGAACATCTGAAAGAACAAACTGCGGACACACCATCCTTAAGAACTGTAACACTCACCACGAGGGTCCGTGGCTTCATTCTTGAAGTCAGCAAGACCAAGAACCCACCAGAAGGAACCAATTCCGGACATAGTAATACTGTTACAAAGAGTTCTGAGTGACAGATTTCTCAGGTCTATCAAGCATAAATCACCAACTTGCCCATAATGGGAGTAAAATATGAAACAGGAAAATAAACAGTTTGAGATAATAATTTAGTCCTTAATGATTCCCATTGTGTTTCAGCTTCATATGTTAATATATCAACATTTTTAGTAGTAGTGGTTTCAAGAGTATTGACATGCACAGAGAATCCCAAAAGATGCCAGATAATTCAGCTTTTATAGTATATTACCATATTCTTGCATTTCAGCTCCATATATATCACAATCTTCAGTATTAGTGGTTTCAAAAGTATTACTATGTAGAGAAAATTCTAAAAAGATGCTAGATAAATCAGCTTTTATAGTATGTTAGCGCATTCTTGTCCTAAAGACTGAAATTTGATATAAATGTCAGGATTGTTACCCGTATTTTCAATATATTATTTATCTAAAGCAAACTGTTCTTTACTGGCTAATTTGCCTGAACTTATTAGAGAGTAAAAGCGCCTCACAATTTGAATAAGAGCTCATATGATTATTTATTATAGCCCTTCAAATAACCAACAATTACTATAAAATTCTTTCTGTCTCAATAGAAATGAAAAGTAGGCAGCAGGATTAAACTGCCTGGAGCAGATGCTTGTCAAAACAGCAGAAACTCTCCAAGTATCAGACCAAGGAAGTGCCATTTAAATGCTAGGAGATCAGCATGTTCTTATGAACAGCTTATAATTACCCAGAAAGGGGAAAACACACTAATCAGGACAATAACGTTTGCAAATGCTATTCTGAAACGGTCTAGTGGTGACCCTCCATTTCATTCTTTTCCTTTCCTTGATTAAATTAATATGCAGACATTCCTCTGGATACTGAATCCAAACTGATCAAATATTTAGAACTACTATTTTCACTGTATTAAAATAAGACCTGAAACAATCAAATTAGTTTGCAATATGAACTTTGTCTCTATTTCAGCATCTGGTGAGCAGATTTTCATTTTTATTGAAAGGAAAGACATTCTTACAGTCAACCGGATCCTACCTCTGGAGTTCATAGATGAACCTGGGGCTCCTGAATGAACATTACGGGGTATTAAAATAATCTGCAACTAGTTGGAGTTTGTTTGCATGTGCAATTATCTGAAAGGAAGGTCTACAGTGTTCAGCAGTTCTAGAGTCGGTCTATGATATTCCCCCAACCCAGCACCAAAAAAAAAAAAAAAGGTGAGAACCACTGGGAGAAAACCTGTGACTTAATCAGATAGGAAGTAGAGTTTGAGCTAAGAACTTTAGAGAAACCCCTTTACCTATGTTCATTTCAGGAAAGGCCATGCATCAGGCTGCTAACAAAGAATCAGTTTGGAAGTTAGGAAAGGGGACTAGGAAAGTTAAGTGAAACTTATATCAAGCCAAGTGCCTTTAGGGTAGCTTATGTGGTTATGTGCAGGCCTTAGCTTTAGGTCCAACAGTCAAAGACAATTCAAAATAATAATAATCAATGAGTAGGAAACTGTGTATTTGAAACCTAGTTGGTACACTTATAGAATACAGCATCTAACTGCTTAGAAAAACTTGACTTTTCTAAATGCAAGAAGAGAGAGAACACTCCTAAGAAGGACAGGGCGCCCTGTGTGTGAAGTGGTATCATGTAATGATAGCTTGGAGAAGGACTTTTTCAAGGCTTATGGATGAGCTCATGATTTGAAAGAAAGCCTTATCAATTGGAGGGACCCGTGCACCTTCCATTCTCTCAGGATCCTCAGAGAACCCCCCCACCCCCGAGACAGATGGCTGGGAGACCTGAGGCATAGTGACTTGTCTCTCTTGTTTTGTTCCTGCTGCCTGACAACCAAAATAGCTCTTTTTGTGGTACTCAATTACATTTGTGAGTTAGAAGTTCTCACCTTGAGCTCTAAGATAGTGAAAATGAAATAAAATAAACCAGTATTGTCTCACTTGGCAGCACCATCACCAAGGTGCATCTCATAAGAACTAGATCAAATGGCTCTATCTGGGCAGAGAAATGACCCGGAGACCTGTGTCAGAACTTCAGTCTAGATTCTAGAGAGTGGTTCTTGCCTTCTAAGTCTCCATCTCCCCAGGAGGCACCTCTGATCATGACCTTCTTTCTCTGCTCTTTTTGGTTCAGGCATCATCTGCAAAAGCCCTGACCCCTCCTATGGAAAAGTAAAAGGAGTCAGTTGGTATTTGCACAAAAAAGGCTTCATATTAGCCATGAAAGTGCAAACTGCAGAAATAAAAGTCTAGTGAGGCAGAACATGAGAGACACGATTATAATTAGCTTTGCAGCTTTGCAAGCTGTGTTTTTTAAATTTTATATAAAACATTTGATAATCATGGAAATGGCGAACTTGAGCCCAATTCTAGAACTTTTGTGTTGAAAGGATAATAATCATAAAATTGTGTATTAGTATTAAAGGCTGATGACTGAGATCAGGAAAATGTAAATAGAAAGGGAAGCTGATGTATGATAAATGAGTTGGTGCATTGGACTGGACACCTTTCTCTATTCATCAGTTCTTTGTGTTGTCCTCTAATTTGGCTTAGATGGTTTACCAGAATGCATGAGCTTTGGTGAGTGTGCACACAAGTGTGCCCTGTGTGCAATTTGGGCAGCAAATGACGCGATTTAGGAAGCATCAAGTGGGAAGTGCTAGGGTGGGATCAGAAGGAAGTGGCATTTAAGGTGTTTTGGCACGGCCAGGGAGGGAGCTCCCTGCAAAGGACATAACATTCTCCCAGAAAGGAACAATGGCCATAAAAGCATCTGAGGGGAGAGAGAGAAACACTGGTTTCCCTCATCCAGAGGAAATAATTTAACTAGTAGTCTGACTCAAAGCTTCTGCATCTAGAAACAAATGCCTGAATTAACTGCAATTTAGATAACTTAATTAAGTCTGACTATATTGTAAATATTAGCAGGGTATGAAATTATTTTTCCTCTTCCAGGGAAAAACCCTTTAATCACCATTCAGGGATTATTATATTTTCCTCTGGGAAAATAAAATACTTTTTATTTAATAGGACAAAGGGGACTCAAAAATAAAACAGAACTTGTTCTCTGCTTCATTAAGCAAAATTCTGTTCCAAGGGAAATGCCACTATAGAACAATAAAGACTGGATTCTAAATATATTTTATCTCCAAATTCAGGGGTCAACCACTACTGTTCTCTGGCTCTGGCCTCCTGAGAGTTGAAATTATTTTTCCCTTGATATAGAATATCAGTGATATTGCCCACCCTCAAACTGATACTCAAAAGTTCCCCCAGCAAGGCGTAAAGGGCAGTTCTGTGAGCATAAGGAGACTCCCAGGCAATGAAGAATGGGGTGGGTAGCAAATAGATCCAGAGATGCTCACACGAAAAAGCCTGCCTAGGAAAGCTTCATTAAGAAAGAGGTGGGGCCGGGCGCAGTGGCTCACGCCTGTAATCCCAACACTTTGGGAGGCCGAGGGGTGGGTGGATCACGAGGTCAAGAGATCGAGACCATCCTGGCCAATATGGTGAAACCCCGTCTCACTACAAACACAAAAATTAGCTGGGCATTGTGGCATACGCCTTTAGTCCCAGCTACTCAGGAGGCTGAGGCAGGAGAATCGCTTGAACCTGGGAGGCGGAGGTTGCAGTGAGCTGAGATTGTGCCACTGCACTCTAGCCTGGAGAGAGAGGGAGACTTCGTCTCAAAAAAAAAAAAAAAAAAAAAAGGAGGGAAGGGGTGTTCGTGAAGCATCTTAATATCAGTAATCCAGATGGGACTAAGAGAGGGTTGTTAGAAAATGGACTTCTCACATCATCTTATGAATACAGTGTGGGCATATATAAGACATCTTAGGAAAAACTGCAAAACTTTACAAGGAGATGCTGGTGGGAACTGTGAGCAGAATACATAATATTATGTACTTTTGATGGGGACATTAGCTAAACCTTGTGATGCTAGAGTATGTTCCCCTCAAATGGTGTGCAACGAAGAAACTTCTATAAAGTGTGCTTTGGCTCAATCTTTTGTAGACCAGCCTCCCCACTCCCAGTCCCAGGATTTCTTGTAGCAGGGAACAGTAACTGTGGCTTGGGAGAGAAGTGGCAGTGAGTAATGCAGAGCAGGAAGTAGTAGCTAGGAGCAGGGCTGCCCAAGAACCAGCCTATTCTGGTCCAGAGGTAACAGATAACCTTCTAACAATGCAGTCCTGGCAATCTCTAGATGGAGAGTAACTACCCAGCATCTAGGTCTGATTTTCCCAAGCAGCTTGTCCTGACAAAGTCTAATACCACTCAGACTTTCCTGGTGTTATATCAAATCCTCCAAACAGTTGCTCTTTCTCCCAAACCCTCAGTAACTTGGGTCTAAAACCCACACCAGAATAAGATACATAAGATAGAGCATTCTACAACAGACACTTGTGGCTTCCCTGTCCACTACAGCAGGCATTAGTCAGAGGCTGCTGAGCACCTGAAATGTGGCTGGACTGAACTGAAATGTGTTGTAGCTAAAAAATACACACTGATCAAAGACTTGGTAAAAACAAAATAGAATGTAAAGTATCTCATTAATAATTTTCATGTTGGTTACATGTTGTAATGCTATTTTGGCATACTAGGTTAAATAAACTTAAAATTTATTAAAAAATAAAAATAGAATTTATTAAAAATGTATTAAAAATACATTTTTAAATGTGGCTACTAACATTATGCATGTGGCTTGTGTATGTAAACTGCCCTCTATCTCTAATGGACAGTGATACTCTAGAGGCTATTGATGGTGAGATCAGCCCTGTCTTCTCCAATCTCTCCAAAGCAAATACAATAATGTTTGCTTTGATTAAATCTTTTCCAGTGCCTGGCAAAGAGCACAGGGTGAGTAGTCAACAAACACCAGTGTTCCCTGCCTAAGAACTATATAACACATGTGATGGTTAATTTTACATGTCAATATGACTGGGTCATGGGGTGCCCAGACATTCAGCCAAACATTATTCTGGTTGTGTCTGTGCGGGTGACTTGGGATAAGATTAGCATTTGAAGCCACGGATGGAGCAAAGTAGATTAACTTTCCTTATGTGGGTGGGCCTCATCCAACAATCAAAGACCAAAGAATACAAAGGCTGAGTAAGAGGGAACTCCTCCTGCCTGACTGTTGAGCTAGGACACTGGTCTTTCTTGGCTTTTTGATTCTGACTGAAACACTGGCTCTTCCTGGGTCTTGAATCTGTCACCTTTCAGATAGGAACTTACACTATCAGTTTTCCTGGGCCTCCAGCTTGCTGACTGCAGCTTTTGGGACTTCTCAAGCTCCATAATCACATGAGTCAATTTCTCATAATAAATCTCTTTATGCACACACACACACACACACACACACACACACACACACACACCTCCTCTTGATGGTTCTGTTTCCCTGGAGAACCCTAATACAACATGTATAAAATTGGTTAATTTTATAACAGGATTTTCTACATATGACAATTTTTAGAGTTAGTGAAGAAGAGGTCAGTTTTCTGAATATATCTACAAATGATTGGCTAGTTTGGGGATATAGAAAAGTTACTTACCCTGAATCTCAATTTGCTCATTGTAAAAATACTACCTCCTCACCAAGATGTGTAAGAGTTAAAGGAGATGATGCCTCAGAAAGTGCTTTATCCCAATCAAGCCCTCTGCAATCTCTATTTAAAAGTCACTTTGTCCTGTTTTGTTTTTCATATAACATAACAAAAAAATTAAATGGTAGACACAAAAAGGACTCATATGCTGAGTTAGGTTTTCAGGCAATAGGTAAAATTTACCTTCTATGCTTATATCCCTGAGGGCACTTGAACCTTTTGTCATCAGGAGGACAGCAGGCTTCCTGGGACTGGAAGGCAAGGTCATATAACCTACGGAGCAAAGCAGAAGATGGGGGCCTCTGGTGGCATGCTGCCCTGGGGGGGCATTCGTGAGGATTCAAGCATGGTGAGACTACCAGCAACAAGTTAGCTCAGGTCTCAATTCCAGGCCTACAGGATTCTTTACAGTTTGCTTAGAATGCCAACTCTTTGCAGTTGGCAACTCTTAAAATCTTTAATGTTTTAAAATCACCACCTAGAGGCATCTTTCTGGTTTTAGCAAGAGGGCTGTGACCATGATGGAGACAGACAACTCAACACCATGAGAGGGGCTTCCTCTGTGCTCTCAATAGGGAAGAAGCAACCTCCCTGTTTTCTGTCTTGCTGTTATTGAATACTTTGTAGTTTTATGACAAAAGCATTGTATATTTTTAATTTATATTTCATGACTTTCTGTTTTATATAAAGAGACTAGTTGATTTCTGTAATTTACCTGATTTTTCCACTTGTACAAGCAGAATGCCATGGAAGGAAAGCTAGGAAATACTGGAATTATGGAACATGAAAGGATGATAATAAAAGTGTAGATTATAATTCATATACAGAAAGGGTACCAGAATGAATTTTGTTAATGATCACATCTCATGTATGAAGAACATGCATACAGAGTCATAGAAATGATGGAAAGGATGGAAAAACTGGAAGCTCTTGGGAGTTGGAAACAGTTCATGTTTCCAACTACAAGACAGAATTGATCATTAAGCCATCTTTAGCTAGAAGCTTAAAATAATCACCTAATTGGAAGTATGTTTTCTAGTCTAAAAGTCAGGTTCACATCCATTTCCTCATTAAACTGCACTACACAGCTGGGTGGTAGGGAATGTTCTCACTATGCCCTTGAGAAAGAAGCTCAGAGAGCCTTGCTTGCATTTGGGTCAGCTCAGGATGAATAAGGGTGTCTTAATAAGCATCCTGCATGGAGCTGTGCATATGATGCACTATTTGGACAATAGCCTCTTTGCTGAAGGGGAACTCCCTAAATTTTCAAACTCCCTTATGAGAGGCAGGGGTGAGTGAATAGTCTAAAAGGTGTTAGTCAAGTTGGTTGTTTTAGTATTCGATCACTTAATATTTTAGCTAATGGAATCACTCTTCAGAAAAGGGAAGGTTTTCCATATATGATAAAGACTGAAGACCAAATTTTCTATATTTTATAAAAAATTTTTTTACAAACAGAAATAGAGTTACCTTGTTGGGAGACAGAGAGGCTTACTTTTAGATCATACTGCCCACTGAGCAAGAGCCAGATTCAAAACGGGTGAAGGGAAGAACTCAGGCTGAAGGGGGCAATCCGATCCATAGGGTGGCAAGGAGAGAGAGCTCTTCAGCATTCACTGGATAAGTGATAAGTCTACCTGCTTATCCAGCATTCACTGGATAAGTCTACCTGCTTATCTAGCACGTGTTGCATATTTTGAAATAAACAAGAATATAAATAACAACTTTCTGAGTTCAAATCTTATAACGTGCAGGAGTTGGTCTCCTTTTAGATGTGACCACTGGCTTCACTTCATGTGACTTCTCTCAACATGGAATGTCTCTCAGGTTTCTTGAGACGAGATGGTGACTACATGCACCCCTACCCCATGCACACATCCAACCCATCTGTAAACTGCTTGTTTTCAATCAAAGCTTTTTTTTTCCTTTTTCAGCTTTCTGCCAACATGCTCACCAAGAGCCATACTGAGCCAAAAAGAAAAACAAGAGTGAAAGGTGGGGTGGGTTAAGAAGGATAGTAAGCAGCCAGGCCTCGATCCAGTTGTCCTGATTCCAAGTCAAGAGAAATTTAAACACAATCTCTCCTTTTCATTTATTTTTATTAGGTCTTTTTGATATTCCCTTTTAAAGTATTTTCTCTAAACTCACAATTGGCGAATGATATAATAGGATCATCGCATTTTAGTATTATTGGGACATTTAGATATTATCTAGGCCAATCCCTCTTTTGATAAATAAGAGGACTGAAGCCCAGGAAGGTCAAGTCATTTTTTTTCCAGGTCATACAGCTGGTTGATAGTTAAGTTGCAGGGAGAATCCAGGCACGCTGTCCATCTCAACAAGCATCCTATCTACTGAAGGTATGATTAAGAATGACCATGAAAACATTGGCAATAGTAAAATTTTAAAAACATAAGTTTCACCTGCTATTCTAAGCACTTCTCATGCCATGAAGAATTTAATTTAAAATTACTCTATGAAGTAGTTACTGCTACTATTGCACTTTTACAGGGAGGGCAATTGCCGCACAGCTGAATGAATTTCCCAATATCATTCAGTTAGCCAAAACCAGAGCCAGGATTCACTCCCAGGCAATCTGGCCCAGGAACCCACATTCATGACTACTCTGCTTAATTGACTCTCTTGAAAAAGGTTCGTAAGGCTTACATAAACTTTAGAAGTCATATAACTTCTTGTGTTTTAACTGCGATTTGCTTTAATGAACCAAAACATTAATTTGCTAAGTTGCTGGTCTGTAGATAGAATTCTTTCTTTTCAGAGTCTGAGACTACTGAAAGGTGTACTTTTTCAGGATCCACTATGAAAAAAACAAGTTAAGCCATTAATGGAAGAAGACTGCTTTCTTGAAAAGATAACTTTTTAAATTGCTGCAATGAGAAAAGGCTGACTCAGGAAAACTAGAGATAAACATAGAAACGAAGCCAAATTCGAAAATATAGATCGGCACAAGCAAGTTGTTGATGCTAATAAATATAAATTGACACATGAGTCTCTTTAGGTTTGGGGTATATATCACTAAAGCCCTACTCTCAGATTTCTCTTAATAAAGGCCATGCCACCCTGAGGATTTCAATATATAACAAAGCACACTTTGCTTGTTTTGAACTAGCCTCCCCTAGTTTTCCCAAGCAAGGTTTTCAGATTGTTCAGTTTATTATTGACCAACCAAGGCAATCATCACCATGTGCCCAGCTCTCCCTGGGCTCTCTCTTGATTGGTAACTGCCCTGCCCAGTGGGTCCTCACTGAAAGCTGACCAGCCTTAGCCTGCCAGTCTCTGGATGATGTGAGAGAGCTGAGAACTTTCTGCGAACTAACCCAAGTCAGTTTTCCAAGTACAATGAGCAGATTCTTTCATAAATGTAGACAGCCTTTGGCAATACATAGGTGGAGTTATCTGCCTGCTCACCCCACAACCTCATGATTAATAGTATACTGTAGGGAAAATAATTCTCAGAGAAAATTCTACCCATAGGTACAAACATTTCTTAGGTGGAAGTTTCAAAAACATATATCCTGTTCCCTTAAGTGTGGTAAGGTTCTGGCCCTCTGCCTTTTTGGACACCCTGATTAGCACTTTGTGTGAAAGGTTCACTTGGAAGCCAGTAAAAAATATTCTGATGGCAAAATCAGCCTTCCTTCTCACTGAATCCTGTGCCCAGTGCCTGAACTAAGGGGTGAGTAGGCGGTAGGAATAGGGCAAAGCTGAGGTCTTCACCTGGGGTGCTGTGTTGGGCTGTGGGTTTGCTGGATGTGTTGCTCAAGGAAGGACAGAAACTCAGAGTCCTTGCACTCATCATGAAAGGACATACTGTGCAATCTTTCTAACCAGCTGAATGTCTTGACACTACTGATTTCACCAGTGAAAAATTACTTCTCTGCTGCTAATTAGTGATATTGAAATCATTTTCCTAGAAATCTCTGGAGGGTGGATCTTTGAGTGGGCACTTCAAATGTTAACAAAACACCTGAGAGTGTGCTATTAATTTACACAGTATATATTTATCACATGTTTATATGGAAGTGTTTAAAAATAAATCACAAATAATATAACCACACCAGAAAAATAAATGGTCCAGGGAACTGCAGTGGTTGTAGACTTATGCCACATGTTCCTAAAGACAAACAATCTTCTTTTTTCCTCTTCCTTCTGCTCCCCAATCTCACCTGGTAAGGCTTAGAGCAGATTTTTGACTTGCCTCACTCCAGACAAACATTCTAAACACAGAAAGGTGGGAGCACTGCCCATTTTACATATGCAAATGAAAGCCACCTGCACCCAATGGACACCTAGCTATATGGGAAGACTTTAGACTATTAAGACAAAGGTAAACCAGACAAGGAATACAAAGGGATATCCCTAAATTGTTCTCAGAAAAAGAGAGCTAAAGGAACCAAAACAGAGTTCTTTTCTTCCCTTCTATTTATTCATTCATTCTAAAAAGTACTTATTCATATTGTTTTATGCACTATTTGCACTGTGCTAGGTACAGGGATACAGCAGGGACAAGATATTCGAGATCATTGCTCTAAAAGATTTTACACAACAGTGAGGAAAGACAATATATGTTTACACATGTAAATTTACATACACGCAAACAAATAACTGTAGATACTGACTTGGACCTGATTGATAAGAAGAAGTAAAAATATGAAAAAGTCTAGAGGAAAACTATCCCAGACAAAAGAAATGAGATACATACAATGAGGCTGAGGTATAGAGCAATTTAAAGATGAGGTCACAGAGGTAAGCAAAGACTGCTTTATAGGCCAGGGAATGGCACTGATATTTAATTCAAAGTGTGATGTGAAGTTGGTAATATAAGGAGGGGAGTGATATGGTCTGATTTACTTTTCAGAAAGATCACTCCAGCTGCTGCACAAAGAATGAATGATTGAGGAACTAGAGCAGAAGAAAGGACAGTCAGGAGCTGTTCCATAGTTTAGACAAAAGATAGTGTTATCTTGGAGTAGGGTGGTAGAAGTGGAGATGGTGTAAAGATAATTTTTGAGGTAGAACAGAAAAGACTCACTGATGAATCAGACGAGGGCTGGGAGGGAAAAAGATGAAGCAAGGATGACATTGAGGTATTCTGTTTCTTCTAAAACCTTGAGTTTCATGGGATTCAAGATGGCTGACTAGAGATGTCAGATGCCAATTCTCCTCAGAAAGAAGAACGAAAGTTACAGTGAATAATCATAAGTTGAATAGCCTATCAAGGGGTGAGTGCTGGAACCTAGTGAAGACCTCAGGGAAGAAGCTGGGGCACAGCAAAAGAAGGAAACAAGAGGCTGGTAGAGACGGGCTAGAAATCCAGAGGGACTTGTTACTTCATTGGAAGGGTGAGTGGGAGTGTTTCGGCTCCCCTCACCCCTACAGCAGACCACCAGTATCTGAACTGTCAGAACCCAAACACTGGTGTAAGCTGTGATTTGAGGACTTTTTTTTTTATTATTATTATACTTTAAGTTTTACGGTACATGTGCACAACGTGCAGGTTAGTTACATATGTATACATGTGCCATGTTGGTGTGCTGCACCCATTAACTGGTCGATTTGAGGACTTCTTGAGGGCAGTACACCAGATCACCAACTCCTGCCAGATCACTCACCAACCCCTGGACCCGAGTGGCAGTGGCAGGGCACCCTACTGAGGCACAGCCATCAAAGTCCTCTGTCCTGCTCAGCCCTTTTGTCTCCAAATCGCCAGATCCCCTGCAGACATTCATCAGTGCCTGCTCAGGCTATGGAAGCTGTACAGGGCTGGCTGGACCCAGGGGACCTGAGGGTTCTGAGTGGTCCAGCTCTTGGGGAGTGATGTTCCTAAGGGAAGGGAGAGTGCAGCATACCAAGAGAGCTCCTGTTGGGAGAAAGGAAACCAGAACACGTGCTTTCCTAGCCTGAAAACTCCCTGCCTATGGGCTCTGAGTGGCTGCATCTCTTCCAGCTGAGACAAAGGCACTGTACTCAGCTCTGCAAGGGAGGAATATAGTTCTATCACAGAAGCCAAGTGGCTTCTGTGCTGGGCCCCTGACAGCTATAGACACAACCATAGTGGCTACCACAGGAAATTGGCACAGGTATGCTGGAGGATGGCTTTTCTAGCGCTTTAAGGGGCAGCTGCAGCCCCACTGGTGGTGTGCCCACCAGGCTGGGCTGTCATGAAAAGTGAGACCCCCATCCTCCACATGGAGCATCAGTGTTCTTGCAGTGGAGAGCAGAAAAGCTGAAAAGCTGTGTGTTTTAGGCTGAGGGAGGAGGTTCTGCACAGGGGAAATTTTGACAAAGTGAGGCAACTGTGTCTTTTACAGCTCTCAGCTACACTGCAGCCTGGAGATATTGTCTGACCAATGTGAGTGTCCCAAGCACCACGATGAGGGCATGACAGGGAAATGGATCACATTCCTGCCCGATCAGGCCATGGAGTTCAATAGTATGCGCATCTGTATGCTCACAAACCAGAAAACCTAGAAGAAATGTATAAATTCCTGGAAAAATACAACCTCCCAAGATTGAACCAGGAAGAAATAGAAATCTCGAGCAAACCAACAATGAGTAGTGAGACTGAATCAGTAATAAAAAATCTCCCAAGAAAAAAAAAGCCCAGAACCAGTTGGATTCACAGCCAAATTCTCCCAGACATACGAAGAACTGGTACCATTCCTACCAAAATCGTTCCCCCAAATTGAGGAGGATAGAATCCTTTCTAACTCATTCTAGAAGCCAATGTCACCCTAATACCAGAGCCAGGTAAGAACACACTAAAAAGTAAAAAACTACAGAGTAATATCACTGAAGAACATAGCTGCACAAATCCTCAACAAAATGCTAGCAAACCTAAATGAACAGCACATCAAAAAGCTAATACATCATGATCAACTAAATTTTATTCCAGGGATGCGAAGATGGTTCAACATATGCAAATCAGTAAATATGATTCATCACATAAACAGAATGAAAAACAAAAACCATACAATCATCTCAATAGATGCAAAAAAAGCATTTGATAAAATTTAGCTTCTTTTCATGATTAAAAAACCCTCAACAAACTAGGCATAAAAGAAACATAATTCAAAATAATAAAAACAATATATGCAAACCCACCACCAACATCATACTGAATGGAGAAAAGCTGGAAGCATTCCCCATAAGAATTGGAATAAAGCAAGGATCCCACACTCACCACTCCTATTCAACAGAGTACTAGAAGTTCTAGCCAGAGCAATCAGGCAGCAGAAAGAAATAAAAGGCATCCAAATTGGAAAATAAGTAAAATTATCTCTGCTGATGATATAAGCTTATACCTAGAAAACCCTCAAGACTCCTCCAAAAAACTTCTATATCTGATAAATGAATTCAGTAAAGTTTCAAGATATGAAATCAATGTACAAAAATGAGTTCCATTTCTGTATACCTATAACAATCAAGCTGAGAACCAAATCAAGAAGTCAATCCCATTTACAATAGCTACAAAATAAAAAATCAAGGAATACACTTATCCAATGAGGTGAAAGATCTCTACAAGGAAAACTACAAAACACTGAGGAAAGACATATAGATAATACAAACAAATGGGAAAACATCCCATGCTCATGAATTAGAATAATAAATATATTTAGAATGACCATACTGCCCAAAGCAATGTAAAATTCAACGTGATTCCTACCAAAATACCAACTTCATTTTTCACAGAATAAAAAAAAAATCCTAAAATTCATATGAAACCAAAAAAGAGCCCAAATAGCCAAAGCAATCCTAAGAAAAAGAACAAAGCTGGAGGTATCATATTACCTGACTTCAAATTATACTACAGGGTGTAGTAACCAAAACAGCATGGTCCTGGTATAAAAGTAGACACATAGCTCAATGGAGTAGAAAAGGGAACCCAGAAATAAAGCCATATACCTACAGCTAACTGATCTTTGACAAAGTTGATAAAAATATACACTAGGGAAAGGACACCCTACTGAATAAATGGTGCTGGGAATATTAAATAGTTATATGCAGAAGAATGAAAGTGGACCTCTATCTCACCATATACAGAAATTAACTCAAGATGGATTAGATTTAAATGTATGACCTAAAACTATTAAAGTCCTAGAAGAAAACTTAGGAAAATCTCTTTGGGACATTGTCCTAGGAAAAGAATTCATTATTAAGACTTCTAAAGCAAATGCAACAAAACCAAAAATAGACAAATGGGACTTAATTAAACTAAAGCTTCTGCACAGCAAAAGAAATAATAAACAGAGTGCACAAATGACTTACAGAATGGGTGAAAATATGCATCTGACAAAGGACTAATATCCAGAATCTCCAAAGAACTGAAACAACTCAACAAGAAAAACCAACAAATAATCCCATTAATAAGTGGGCAAAGTATATGAACAGACACTTTTCAAGGAAGACATACAAATGGTAAAAAATCATATGAAAAAATGCCCAACATCACTAATCCTTACAGAAATGCAATGAAAACCAAGAAATACCATCTCGTACCAGTCAGAAAGGTTATGATTACAAAGTCAAAAAACAAAAGATGTTGGCAAGGATGCAGAGAAAAGGAAACACATACAACACTGATGGAAATGTAAATTAGTACAACATCTATGGACAACAGTATGGAGATTTCTCAAAGAACTAAAAATAGAGCTACCATTCAATCCAGCAATTCCACTACTGGGTGTCCACACAAAGAAAAAGCAATCATTATACCAAAAATATACTTGCACTCATATGTTGATTGTAGTACTCTTCCTAATAGCCAAGCTATGGGATCAATCTAAGTGTCCATCAGTGGATGACTGGATAAAGAAAATGTGTATGTATATGTGTAGATATATATATATACACACACACCCATACCATGGAATCCTACTCAGCCATGAAAAATAACGAAGTCACATCTTTTTTAACAACATGGATGGAACTGTAGATGATTATCTTAAGTAAAATACTCAGAAACAGAAAGCCAAATACTGCACATTCCACTTGTAACTGGGAGCTAAATAATGTGTACCCATGAACATAGAGTGTGGAATAATAGACACTGGAGACTCAGAAAGGTGAGAGAGTAGGAGGGGGATGGGAGATGAGAAATTAGGGTACAATATACACTATATAGGGGATAGTTCCCCTAAAAACCCAGACGTCACCACTAGAGAATATATCCATGTAACAAAACTGTAATTGTACCCTAAATTGATAAAAATACAAATAATAAAAAACTTTGAACAACTGTTGAATCACAGAGGAAGTGGCCACCTTAAGACCTGATTTTACTACCTCCTAAATTCTATGTATTCCCATGCCCTACAAATCCTCCAGTTTATGCCTCTATCATCTCTGATCTGGCTGTGAAAATTACTCCAAACTGCCTCCAACCTCACCCTTCTACAACTCTTCTCCTACTATTGTGGCCATCATTTCATAACAAAAATCTGATCCTTGTATACGATGGTTCCTTCCTCTCTACCTATAAGATAAAATTCAAAATCCTTATAGCAGCCTACAAGGCCCTGCCTTATCTGGCTCCTGCCTACCTCCCAGGCTTTCATCTCTCATCATGTGTTTCTCTCTCACCGCTACCTCTCTACATCCTTTGATAAGGCCTAGCAAGATCTTTACAATTCCCAGAATACCCCATGCTGTGTTTACATTGCTATCTTAATTAGAATGCCCTCCTTAGCACCTCATCCGTCTGGAAAATTCCTCCTTTTTCTGCTAAGAGTCAAATGAGTTTCCCCAAACCCTATCTCCTTCAGCTAAGTTTTTGTTGCCACTGTATCTTGTATATACTTACATATAGCTCTACTACAACACTACAATGCACGTGTAAGATTTTGTTCACATATGTCTCTCTGTCTCGGGTGATAAACTCCTTGAGGGAAGACATCTGGCATTTTTCTCTTTGTATACCCATGTGCCTTTCACCGTAACTTATACATATTAAATGATCAAAATAGTAACTGTCATCAAGCAGTCATCTTTTCTCTGCATAAATACCTATGCCTTTACAGACTGTGAACTCTGTACCTCTCAATAGAGCCATTCCATTTTTGGTGCATCAAAAAATGATGAGGCCAATGAATTCTTACTGAGTTAGCAGAAATCCAACTTTATAAATTAATCAGATTACTTAAGATTGTTTTTTTGGTAAATACAAGCCTCAGATCATTCAATGTAATTATGTACAGGTTTTCTAGAGTTAATTGAAAACATTACCAATCATTTTTCTTTAAGTGAATGAACAGATTTCATTTAAACATTTGTTTGCTTGTTTTTAAGTTACAGCTTCAGGAGATTAAGGAATATAAGAATAAGCATAGGCAATATTTTTATAAGAAAGAGAAAAACTGTTCTAAGGAACAGATATGATAAAGAAAAGGCTTAATCCAAAAGCTCTATTAAAATACAGAAAAGCACACTATAAGCTAAAATATACTTACTAGGATTACTTTTTTTCTGAAATATTTACTGTGATAACTTTTTTATAAGTCCTATTCTGCAGATACTGGGACTGCTTCAGCTCAACCATTCTGCTCTACCAAAGAGTTTTTGAAGACCTTTCTGCAGAAATTAGATGACCTATACTCAGGTGTATTTTAAATGTATCTGCCTGAATATCAGTTTTAAAGAAATGAAAACTATTTGTCATTTCAGAAAAGCTGGTATCTGCTCTCTACAATCTCAAGATAAGTAAAATAAACATTTCTAATCTGTGCATATACAGGATTCAGACATTGTACTTTGGAAGATTTTTCCTCTTCTTGTGGAGATGTTTAAAGGTGTTTATAATACATTTGCTTATTTTTTTAAAAAAAATAGAAATGCTGAGTGTATTTTTATATTTTCTATCTTTTCGTATTGTTTTTCATTAATACAGAGCCTCTTCTAAATAGTCTACAGCAAAACATTGCAATATATTTCAAAGGGTTATTTCTTTGCCAGAAATATTTTTATCAGATCAAAATGTTTTTTGTCAGTGAATCTCAGAATAAAAGGCCTATAAGCTGTTTTAAGTAAAAAAATACTTGTGCTGTCAAGTTTATCTTGCTGAGCATATTTAGCCCTCCTTTAATGATCATGTTGATAAAGTATACTTGGCATGCAATTGTTTATGAAATAAAGGTCCTTGATGCAGAATGCAAACAAGAGTCACAGATTAATTGCATCATAAGGACTCAATAAAGATTTAATATACATCTAACAATCTAATACAACCATGAAACTATTTCGAAAAATAATTATAAAAGATTCATAATCTGTAAAAAGCCTATGGTGTAAAAAAGGTAGAAATGGAACAAATACAATGAGAAGAGACAATAATGTAAATAAGATCTCCTCCTGCCCTTGAGAGCTTATTTGGAGGTTCCAGCAGGGGAACGCAGCTACTCATATACCCTGGACTGGGGACAAGGTCGTCCTCTTCAACCAAGCACACAGCTTCAGGAGAGATGCACATGGAGCAGTGAGAGAGGAAGGGGACACCCGCCTAGCCAGCCAGATCAGCTGAATCAACCCTGGCACTCAGTGGAGCGGCAGCCAGATAACTCTCACGTCCTCCTCCTTCCCTTAAAGTATCATTTCCAAAAGTTTCCTAACAAATGAGGAAAATAGCATTGTTAGTACTTATTTCTGGGAACTTTACGTGAGTCCAGACAAAATCTTTCACTTACCTGTTTTACTTTTCTCTGCTTCTGTCTACCCAGGTAGAAAGCTAAATTCCAGTCTCACTGTGAACTTCTCCAGGTACTCTGCTCCTCCCATTTGACCTGCATTTCCATAAGGTAGCCTCCTCTCCCTTCAGATTATTAATTCTAGTTCTGTTTTATTTAGGGGTTGAAGGCACTAGGAGAAATATCTAGGTCCATTGCCCCATAATTCCAGATGGAATGGAAAGACCGTCACCAGGTTTTGCTCAGGGCAGGAAAAAAAAAAAAAGAAAGCAAGAAAAAAAAGAAACCTCTACTAAGAGCAAAAATGGAAAGGATCTTTTTGACAACTTTAGATGTACAGAAAGGCTGTTCAAGAGGTACTACCCCCCAAGGAGAAGCAGAGCAGAGCTCTTTAAATGAAAGCAGTTTTACCAAGTCAGGGGAAAGAGCATGCTTATAAAAGAGATGGGTGTGACAGCAAAGCTGCTTGTTGAAATGGTGGGGAGGGTCAGGGAAATATTAGCAAAAATGACAGCATTGACTGCCATTTCTCTTTTCAGTCCTCGTCTCTCCTTGTGTGGCCATCCACATGTCATCTTGTCACCCTTTCTCTCTCTCTCTCTCTCTCTCACACACACACACACATGCTACACAGAGTGCCATGAAAACACCAAACTTTCTCAGAATGAGCTTGTCCTGGCTATCAAGTTATTATAGAAACAGAGAAAATGGCAGAGGTTGGGGGGTGGGGGTTGGGGGGAAGGATTCTTACTTCCATAAACTACTGATTTTCACAGTTTAGTTCTGCTCTCCTAACTAAATAGAAAAGAAATTCTCAAATGGGATAAAACTAAGGGCCTCATTGCTCTTTCCCCTCCACTGCAAGCTCCATCTTATATAATAACATTTACTGTTGAGAGAGAAAACAGAGAGGGAACATATCTGTACAAATGCAGAACTATGCATCCTGGTTTCTGGAATGTGGTAGGTATTCCCTCTCCCAGTAAAGTTCCCTATTGCCTCAGATGTGGAAAAATGCAGAAGGAAACTGTCATCTCAAGGCTCTATCTCATCTGAGGGAGTCTCTTCATATAAGTTTCTCTGTATTCTATTACTTTACTATATTTTTATTATATTGATTTTTGTTACATTTGTTTGATAACTTTAAGTACATAGGGCAGAAAGATATAAAGGTTAATAGAAAAAACATTTTTTAATTACATAAGAAACAGAAAAACTAGGCCAGGCCATGGTAGCTCATGCCTGTAATCCCAGCACTTTGGGAGGCTGAGGCAGGAGGATCACTTGAGGTCAGGAGTTCAAGACGAGCCTGGCCAACATGGTGAAACCACGTCTCTACTAAAAATACAAAATTAGCCGGGCTTGGTGGGGCATGCCTATAATCCCAGCTGCTCGGGAGGCTGAGGTGGGAGAATTGCTTGAACCTGGGAGGCAGAGGTTGCAGTGAGCCAAGATCACACCACTACACTTCAGCCTGGGCGACAGAGCGAGATCCTGTCTCAAAAAAAAAAAAAAAAGAAAAAGAAAAAGAAAAAACAGAAAAACCATATAAACCACAAACAAACTATATTACAATATTATTCTATTTTTCCAGTTAAATATAAAAAATATACTCAGGGTCCAGAAGAATTAAAAGAATCTACACTATCTGAGGAAAATAAAAAGAAAGCAACCAACAAAGTACAATGTAATTGTGAGAAGATGCAAAATATAACAGTTCAGGTGGAATGCACACGTGACCACATCTAGTGCATAGTTCCTTTATTTCAAAGTCAAGAACTTACTGAATGTAACAAAGAAAAGACTAAATGAAGTCCTTTATTCTATTGAACAGCATTTGGAAAGAACCAAATAAGAACAACAATAATAACTAGCATTTATTTAGTACTGCTTTGTGCCAGGGACCATACTATATATTTTCCTGAATCCTTAAAACAACTTTGCAAAGAAGGTAGTACTACTCTCATTTCATCAATAAGTAAACTGAGACTCAGAAAAGTTAAGTAATTTGTTCAAAGTTATATATTTAATAGATAGCATAGGAGGATTCAAACCAAGCTCTACTTTGAAAGCCTTTGAATCTTTGATTAAACAAGTGACTTTCCATTAGTCCAGATCAGGATTACAAAAGTAAATGTTTAGAAAGGCTATGTAGGCGATAACAATGGGAGAAGCAGGCTGGTTGTAATTGCAATAGGCAACACAATTCAGCACTGGCAAAAGGCCTGTGGCCAACCGGAAAACACTTGCACCCCTTTACAAAGGGCCCATGATACTCAGCTCCACCTGACTGTTACCAGGATGCAATGTACCGCATTACCAGGATCTGTTATTAGAGGAATTTTCCATTATTTGGAGAAATTAGAAATCCATATCTTCATGGAAATATTCTGTTTTTATATATTGGTATAAATACAGCTTGCCAATCAAACCACATAAGCATCCTAAACATCATCTGTCCTAGATATGTTCTTAAAACACCAGAGTCAGCCTGCTGGTTATGGAGGCACAATCTACTCATCACTATGGGTGGGCAATGAATGGTCTATGGATGGCCGGAGAGAAATATTAAATTCCTTTCCATTAGTAAGAGGCTCAGAATCAGGCAGTAGAGACAACTCAGTGAGACCAATGTGGCTCTAAGTGTGGCCCAAAATAGACCATAGACGGCTCACTCTGAATCTTGCTTGTGCATTTCACAGACTCTTGCCTGCATTCCTTCAGGGGCCATAGACTTCATTACATCACTTATAGGACCCAATTACGAGCTATCTCCTGAATGCCATTTTTATCAAACTTCCTGAGATGTGCCCTGTGCACTCTACCTTTTCATATTATCAGCTGACATTTCCATCCAACTACTGGAAATGTCTCTAATGTTGTTCTGACACATCAAAGCAGATACAGCAGCCTTTCATTTCTAAACCTCTGGTCTCAGAGAACCTTTGAAAATGAGCTCAACACTAGGCGAGCACTCTCTACTCCTCAATAAAAGGGACACTTCCAATTCTCCAGAGACCCTATCTGAGTGGGCTTAGAAACTCACTCAGATTCCCATTATAATGAAGAAGCTCTGTCAAGTTCCCCAGTTCTAGACCCAAACCTGTTAAGATAACAGAGAATCATGCTGACTTTGGGGATACACATCAGTTAAGGAACAATGTAGCTTGTTTATAATATAACATTCCTTTTTTTAAAAGGCTTATCCAAACTGCTCATGCTAGACATGGTATTTCCTGGTTCTTTATAAGGCTACAGAAAAATGAAAATACACACTATCATTAAAAGATTTCTTCCCATTTTCCTAGGCTCTTAGCAGGCTCTTACTAGGAATGCACATCCTTAACTTTGTTTATATAGCACAATGGAAACCATAAGGAACCAGACAATCTAGGCAAGCATATGTGAGTAATTTTAAAAGCTCTCATAAAAAGAATGTTATACGTATCATATGTTGCCAAGATACTAAGCCACTCTCATAACATGTAACTAAACATAACATGGGGTACTAAATTTCAGCATATTTATCCTTACCTGCAAGTCTTCTTCTCTTCATATTCAGATCGATGATATTTTTGCAAGAAATCAGCCTTGCATACCTCTTGTTGAAAAACAAAATAAAATGCTGCCCATTCTTTTTTTTTTTTTTTTTTGAAGCTAGGGTTTTTTTTTAATTCCGAACTGTTTAGGTTCTTATTCATTCAGACTAATTCCAATTTATGCCTAATTTTAATAGTTTGGATTTATTTTTGTATATTTGAATCTATCATAATATTGTCAGAGAAAAAATTCTTTTTAGAAATGTACTGAGGGCCAGGCACAGTGGCTCATGCCTGTAACCCCAGCACTTTGGGAGGCCGAGGCAGGCAGATCACTTGGGGTCAGGAATTCGAGATCAGCCTGGCCAACATGGTGAAACCTCATCTCTAGTAAAAATACAAAAATTAGCTGGGTGTAGTGGCACGCACCTGTAATCCCAGCTACTTGGGAGGCTGAGGCAGGAGATGGCTTGAACCCGAGAGGTGGAGGTTGTAGTGAGCCACAATCACACAACTGCACTCCACCCAGCCTAGGTGACAGAGCCAGATTCCCTCTCATTAAAAAAAAGAAAGAAAGAAAGAAAGAAAAAGAAATATACTGAGAACTTTCGTGATACCATGTTTACGTTCTTCACAAATGTGGTCTACAGAACTTTAAGTTCATGTCTAAAAAAAAAGAAATGTTAATCTCCATTGAATCATCAGCAGAACTTAGAGAATGTCTTGCTATTTTGATTGTCTATTCTCTTCTCATGTTTTATTTTATGCAGAAACTTTGTCTTTGTAGAAATTTACTCCTGAAAATTTCCTAACACTTAAATCTGAAAGGGACAATATGGTAACACCCTGTACTAGGGTGATCATTCATTGCAGTTTTTACCAGGACAATCTGGTTTTCACCTGCTGTCATGGCATAATTGCCAACAGTGCCCCTTTCACACCCTCAAGAGTTCCAGTTTGAATGATTCATTAAACGGTTACTACACTATATGCTGTGACCCTCTTCTTCACAGCTCTCTATAACTTATGGATTAATAGGGGCAACTTAAAAAAATTTGTTAATATTATGCTCAGTATAATGGAAGTCAGAAAAAGTACTTGGAAATGCTTGCTTTAAATAATGTACATTGTGTCTCTCTATGGTCAGAAATCACTATGATAAATAGTTGCTTGAGTTTAATTTCAAAGATTATGTTTTCTTCTCTGTAAATAAATTTGAAATAATTTTCTAGTGGGTAAATGAGACTACAAAACCATGTACACTTATTTTTTGCTTTGACTGCCAGGAAATAAAGCCTAACTTCTTGCAAAAGTAATGCAAACTTATAAAAAAAGAAGTATTTAGTAGCTGGAAACATCTATTATCCTCTCTGCCTCTTTCAGATATGTTCTGTGCTCTTTGATCCATATATATCTTACCTTTCACTATCATCTACCTACATGTTCTTTTCAATGTTGGTCAATATACATTTTACATTGTGTAACTTCCCCCCAAATAACTAAACTTCTCATTAACCTTGTCAGTTCTAATTGAGGCAAATTAAAAGATGTACTATAGGTACCATTTAATGTTCCAAACATGATGAATTTCCATAATATCATTAAGAGGATGACACCAACTCTCAAGCTGAAATAATGCGTATTTGAATCATCCTAACCCCCTAATATACACTTCCCTCTTTCCTGTCCATGTAAAAATCTGGGGGAAACAAGGAGCATTACTATACAAGAAGGCATTGGACTGAGACTTCAAGTAGGTCGACATGACCTGATTCGAATAAGGAAGGCAACATGTTGAACATTCTTGCTCACAGCAGTCATCCACCTGTAAGAAGAGTCTAGAGTTCTGTTCTAAGTCAGGACGGAAAGCAAAGAAAAGGGAAGTCCAAAGTCTCAGGTGGAAAACACAAAAACAATTAAGATAGAATTCTGAAGATAATTATACTGAGATGCACAAGGAGGGCTTCCAATTAAACTTGAAAGAAATAATATTAGCAAATCCAGAAACCCACCTAAGACATAATCCTTCCTCTGAAAAAAAAAACTACTATGTCAACAATGGCTACCCTTTTGGGTACTTGCTGTGTGTCAGACATAGTTGCCAGCAATTTCCATGGATTAAATCATTTACTCTTGTTTCATTAAATCTAAGCTACTACTTAAGGTAGTCTGACAAATCCCATCATGGAACGGGGTACGTGAGCATGCTCTTAGCAAGTTCAGGCTACTAAAAACATTAGGCAAGTTAACTATTCTTTATAGTTGATCTAATATTTGATAAGTAAGTTGAAAGTGGATACTTAATCTACTTTCAATCCTGGTCCTTTCATTTAAAAAGTCTTTAGAAATTATTCAACATGACACAGTGGGACACATTTTCAGCACTTTGCTGACCTTTGGGGACTTGCCAGTAATGAAACAAGAGTTCAAAATCTAAATAATAAAATTTAATAATGCATTGTTGATACATTTTAATCTAAAGGAAACTTCATGAACATTTATGGACAGACAGTGACCAAGAATCATCTTCAAGTGACAAATAAGGAGCCAGCATGTGTAGAAAACTGTCTGTTACAGAAGAGTCAGCACAGATATCTCTTATTCATTTAGCCAGGTCACTCTTTCTTTTCTTTTCTTTTTTTTTTTTTTTTTTTTTGGAGACATATGGTACCATGCCTGGCTAATTTTTGTATTATTATTATTATTATTATTTTTCTAGTAGAGACAGAGTTTCACCATGTTGGTCACGCTGATCTCGAGCTCCCAACCTCAAGTGATCTGCCCGCCTCGGCCTCCCAAAGTGCTGGGATTACAGGCGTGAGTGCCCGGCCCCAGGTCACTCTTTGATCCTACTCATCAGCAAGTGATATAATCTAACCATTTCCAGGTAACAAATCAGAGAAATTATATTACAACAACAGTGTTGTTTCCTTCGTTTCCTTCTACCTTCTCAATTAAAAACATTCGAATAATTCATTAACTTAGGTTTTAGAAATATTAAATTATGTTAGCTAATAAAGGCATTATTAACAAATGGAATAAGAATATTAACTAATATATATTAACTAATATTCCATATTAGTAACAATTGAATAAGAATAATATTGTCTTATTCATTTGAATATTGTGTTATTCATTTGAATATTGTGTTATTCATTTGAAAGTTAAAAACCAACCAACTATGGACATATCCTTGGGATTATGACTATCACAAATACCTGTTTAGTTGGCCTTAAATAAAGGTACAGTAGCTCTAAAAGTACGATACCAATGTTAGTTTTTTTACTTTTATATAATGGTAATGTCAATTTAACTTGGTATAATTATTAATCATTTTATAGCCTTTCTGAGTTTTAGTGATTTAGTAATTCTACTCTATAAACAATAAAGTTCATAGACCAAATATATCATTGTAATAGGTAGATAAGTATTCATAACCATGAAAAATGACCTACGCATTGTTTATCTTCTAAAATTTCAACAACATAATGGTTTCTCTACATAAAAGTGAAGACTGCTCTTGCTGCCTAGAGCATCGCAAATAATTTTACCCAATAAGATGCATAATCATCCCACATTATAGTTATTAGGT
The DNA here is from genome assembly GCF_000001405.40 of Homo sapiens. Lineage (NCBI taxonomy): Eukaryota > Metazoa > Chordata > Mammalia > Primates > Hominidae > Homo > Homo sapiens. The sequence continues at coordinate 114,246,266 of NC_000005.10, read as the reverse complement.
ATTTTTATGAGTACAAATAAACAAAATGAAGCACAAATCAGTATTTCTTGGCCTCTTTAGTATCATATATATTTATATCTACAACAAGTACTTATGTATTTATCAAGGCAATTTTATAGAGAAAATTACATTCACGAAAATAGGAAATAAACTCAGGGACAATTCACCTAACAGATCAGTGGAAATCAGAGATCAAAGTCATGGTACTGTACTGAAGCTTGAAGACCACCCTGATCCTCCAAGAAAAAACTTCTATCCTAGAAAATCTGTTTATATGTCTAATATCCCTGAGGGTTTGAGGCCACATCAATATATCTGGCCTTCTGTGTGAATTCTGTGAGTTTTAGTAGATATGCTGAGAACAAGTTGGGTGATAAGGTAGAGGCAGCACAGGAGAGCAGAAAAGAGTCCTCAGTGGCTTAGCACATAAGATATGTCCACCTGTTCCTGACTGTTCTCCAACTTGCTAAAGGCCCTTGGGTAAATTTTTCAGCCTTCCTTTCCTCAACTGTGAAAGGAAGAGTTTGAGCTAGATAATCTAAGACAGCTCTATGTTTTTTTGTTTTGTTTTGTTTTTAGGGGTTTTTTGACAAAGAATATTGGAATTTGCCAAAAAATACTTATATTGTTATTTCACAGTCAGATAAATCATTCTAGAACAGACAGGCAAGCAATTCATCCACTACACTATAAACCAAAAGGCAGCTATAGTGTGGCTGCAGTGAGCTGTGTGAGAAATAAGAAACTTTACTTTTGATATAGATGCTGTGTGAATTTGGGCAATTCACTTTCCCTCTTTGAAATTCAGTTTCTTTGTTAGTAACAACAGTCTTGAAAAGATTAAGTGAAATAATATATGTGAAAGCATTTGGTGAAGTATAAAATGCTACACAAATGCAAGGTGATTTGTTATGTGCATGAAGAGATATCACGTTTATCAATAATCCTGCTAACATTCAGACCACTTCAAGTCTAACCAGACACCCAAATACCTCTCTACCTCTCTCACCCACATACGAATACAACTGCAGTGACAGCAGCACTAGAGTTTTTGATTTAGAAAGAAAATATTCCTGCTTTTACTATGGGATATTTGTTTTCATCAACTTTGACACCTTAATCTTCTTTTATTATTTTAAGGATTTAAATATTTTACCAGTACCTGCTTTTGTCTGATGAATTTGTTTGCAAATGGCTAAACACTTTAATTGACAATTCTTTTTAAACAGCCACTGCCTTGTACAACTATTATTTCTTGGCTTTTATGCTGAGTAATTTGACAGCCATTAATATTTTTTGCTTTATTTTGTGGAAGAGTTTCACCTGCATTGTTATCATTAAGTTACAGAATAACCCAGCAGTTCTAGAAGCTCCAAAAGAGAAGCACCCTATTAAATGATAAGCAAACCCACTAAGAAAATGAATTTGTATTTGTGACTTTAGAGCCCCATAACCTGCATGTTAGCTTCAATGAGTAAAGCTTCAGATACCACCGTTAATTGACATAAACACCAAGCCAGGAAGCTGCTACTGTCCTCACAAACTTCACCAACACAACACAGATGGACTACTGTCTAAAGAAGCCCACAGACCTTTTTCTTTCTCTCTTTCTCTCTCTCTCTCTCTCTGTCTCTCCCCTCCACACTCCCCCCAATAACCCCCCATGCCCGCCCCAGAGTTTTGCTCTTATTGCCCAGGCTGGAGTGCAATGGCGCGATCTCGGCTCGCTGTAACCTCCGCCTCCCGGGTTCAAGCAATTCTCCTGCCTCAGCCTCCCAAGTAGCTGGGATCACAGGTGCCCGCCACCACGCCCGGCTATTTTTTTGTATTTTTAGCAGAGACAAGGTTTCACTATATTGGCCAGGTTGGTCTTGAACTCCTGACCTCAGGTGATCCACCCATCTCAGCCTCCCCAAGTGGCAATGAGCCGCCATGCCCAGCCTCTTTTTTTTTAAATAAACAAGCAAAAAAATTCCATCTTGCTCTTAGGTCCAAAAATTCTACTCTTGCTACTCTTAGGAGTCTGTTTACTGCGTGCTCCAACAGGAAAGCCACATTTACACTAACTTCCTCTTCTTATTTTCAGAAAGTTCTAGAATTTAGAGACTGCCCTAACTAGATATGAGTGAAGCTCATTTAACAGCTGCCTTTCAGTTCTGGATTTGAGGAACCACATCATTCAGAAGCATTCTCACATGCATTCATATATCAGTAAACCAGTTGCTGAGATTAGGTCTGCCAGGTTTCTCTTAGGGTTAACATTTACTGTAGTTGTCTTACAGTTACCCTCAGTGAATCCTTCCTTTTGGGATCCAGTACTTGCAATCCGCAGTAGTTTAAGACAGGGTTTAAGAATGTTTTCATACCAAAAAAGGACTCTGGATGGAAGATTGCTCATCTCCTGTTTATTCTTACCCAAAGTGAAACCTGCTTTGGTGTTCTGTAACATAAGTACAGTAGTCACCCTTTATCCTGGGGGAAACACATTCCAAAATCCCTAGTGGATGACTAAAACCACATACCAAACCTTGTATATACTATGTTTTTCCTATACATACCTATGATAAAGTTCAACTTATAAATTAGGCACAGTAAGACATTAACAACAATCACTGATAACGAAATACAAGAATGATAACAATATGCCAGCAACACTACTCTTGCATTTTGGGGCCATTATTAACTTAAATAAAGTTGACTTGAACACAAGCCATGACAGTTAATCTGATAACTGAGCTACTAAGTGATTAATGGGCCAGTAGCATAGATGTGTGGATACGCTGGACAAAGGGGTGGTTCAGGTACGGGGCAAGATGGGGCCAGACACTGCGAGATTTCATCACGCTACTCAGGATTACATGCAATTTAAAACTTATGAATTGTTTACTTCTGGAAATTTTCATTTCACATTTTCAGACCTCAGCTGGCCACGAGTAACTGAAACTACAGAAAGCAAAACTGAGGAAAAGGGGAGACTACCGTAAACATATGTGTGAGTTGCTATGTTACACAGGTTAGTTGAGATCAAATGTCATTGTAGGTTCTTATTCATCTTTTTCTTTCCTCTTAACTCTGAGAACTTAAAATGGCTTTCTTCTAAGCCACAATCTAAATAACTTAGATTTAGAGGGCTTTTTATGCAGTATAAAATATACTATGTAACAATAATTTTGTATGAAGACATATTATATGTTTATTTTTATATTTTCTGACATCCCCACTAGAATATAAGTTCCACAATGGCAGAGAATATTTCTTTTGCTCACTGGTGTTTTCCCTGTCTAATCAGTATTTGACACTGAGAAAACACTCAGTAATATTTGTTTAATAAATAGATGAATGAATGAGTCCCAAACAAGGCATGTTGGGCCTCATTTACTGCCAAAAGAATGGCCAATTTATTTTTATTTTTTGTGTTTTATTAATTTGTAATAGGGGAAGCAATACAAAGATGAACCACATTTTTAGAAAGTTAATAATCTATCTTCCCTATATTGCATTCTCCCTAAGGAATCCAATAGTAATATACTTTTCTATTCCTTTCTCTATGTTCACAAAAATGTATACCAATACCTAGAGATCGATTTGCTTCCTTCCTTCCTTCTGTCCTTCTTGCTCTTTCTAACATTTACTCTGAAGTTGCTTTTTTCCTATTCGCGAGTTCAAAATAAATACATAGAACACTGGTCTTCCCAAGGACTAAGTAGAGAAATAGTTGAATTAATATAATCATTCTTTTGGTAGACATTCAGGTTGTGTCTCAACTGGTGTCACTATAAACAATGCTTATATAAATATCCTTGTAAATAAATAGTTATAGAGAACTGGATTAATGCCTGTTAGATATGTTATCAACACAGGATTTCTGGGTCAAAACTATGCAAACTCATTGTCTATTATATGAGCTGCAAGTATTTTTATGAGGTTCATTATTTTACCTTTTATTTTGTTTATGCTATTGTTGAAGACAACTCTCCATGGGTCTTGGCTTTCATATGTCTACTGAGCAGAGGCACTGACTGCCTTTGTTCTGCACTCTTTACAAGGATGTTTGCATAGAGAGCAGCCATGGAAAGCAGAGATCATACCTCCCTCTAAATAATAATAAGCAGGCATGCTTATTGTCCATTATAAAAATTTTAGGGTCCCTAAGCTCAGGATATCTCTTCTGTAACCCACTGTGTTTGCATGTGTTACCTGACACTCTCCATTTCACCGTGTGGGAACTGGGGCTCAAGAAACAGGCACAAGAACACACTGATCCATGAAATTGTGGGAGGCCCTTTAGCCTGAAAAATGAATAAAATCTCCATACTTCATGGTTCTATATAGCTGTACATGCTTTAAAAGATTAATAGTCCAATATGTATATCTTTAAATCTTCCAGGGATCTGTCTAATTTTGGTGGTCCTTCACACTCCATATATATATATATATATATACACACATATATATATATACGTATATATATACATATATATACGTATATATGTATATATATACGTATATATATACATATATATACGTATATATGTATATATATACGTATATATATATATATCCACATATATATTCTCGTAAATTTTATTCTAACATTTTTATTTTTTACACTTAAATATTTAACATAGATTACGTTTTTGCCTATTGTGAAAGACAAGGTTCTTAGCTTTTTCTTTTCCACATGACAGCAATCTTTATTAAATAAATTGTCCTTTAAAAGGTGAATTAAATTTTATCCTTACCATGTAGTAACTTCCTATACGTATTAATACCTGACTCCATTTTGGTATATTTTAGTTTTCACCAGTCCATTTATTTAGATTCTCCTGAAGACAGAATGATGTTTTGATTATAGCAACTTGGTATACATTTTAATTTTTGTTAAGGCATAACTATCTTCACTATTTTATTCAAAATGTTTTGGCTCTTCTCCAAAATTTATCCTACTATATTCGTTATCTAAAATGAATTTTACCTATTCCAAATCTATTGAAATCTATTGAAATGCTGAGTGGAATTACATTAAATTACATAATGTTCTCAGAATTATTGCTATTTTTGTGACATTAGAGTTATTTTATCCAGACATTTACTGTTTGAGTCTTCTTTAAATATGTTTGTTATATTTCATAACTTCCTTTTATAATCAAGTACTTATATCTAAGTGGTTTATAATTTATTTTTCTTTGGATCAGGATACATATAGACACATATACAAATGTTTTTTACTCCAAATAATCTTTACTAACTAGATATTGCTAGTTAGCACAAAAGCTATTAATTTTTATATATTTTTAATTCAGCAATCTTACCAATTTCCTTAATCTGCCTGAGAGTTAATAAATCCTCTTGTGTAATTTCATTATTAGCAGATAATTTTTTAAATTCTTTTCACATATTTATACTAATTTTTCAAAGATCTATAAAAATATTTTTGCCTCATTATGTTAACTAAAATCTTCAAAATACTACTTGAGTAATAGCAGTGATAAGCAGCTATCTCTGTATTACTTCTTACATTATTGAAAATAATTTGAGGCCGGGCACAGTGACTCATGCCTGTAATCCCAGCACTTTGGGAGGATGAGGCAGTGGATTGCTTGAGGCAAGGAGTTCAAGACCAGCCTGGGCAACATGGCGAAACCCGTCTTTACTAAAAATACAAAAATTAGACGGGCATGGTGACGTGCACCTGTGAGCCCAGCTACTCAGGAGGCTAAGACACAAGAATTGTTTGAAACTGGGAAAGTGGAGGTTGAAGTGAGTCGAGATCATGCCACTGAACTCCAGCCTGGGTAAAAGAGTGAGACTTTGTCTCAAAAAAAAAAAAAAAAAAAAAGAGAAAGAAAAATATAATTTGAGCTTTCTTTTTAAAATATAATATTAACAGTAGATTTTTATATGTTTTTCTATCATGTCTAAGCAATTTCCATCTATTCTTATTTTATAAGCTTTTATGAGGAATAAATGAATTTCACCAATTCTTGTCTAACATCTTACAATATAATTAAATAATTATAATTCAAATTTTTTTGGTATAATACATTTTATATGTGATTTACTAGTGTTAAACCATGTAAACTGAGTAAGTTTCCCCTAATCACAAGTTACTATCATTTTAAAACATGGATTAGCCAACATTTTATTTAATTTTAATATCTATATTCATACTTGAAAATGATCCTTACTTTTCTTGAGGATACTGTAGACAGTTTTCATGTTAAACTTATGGCGGTTTCTTAAAATGAACTGGGAAGGTCTCAATTTTTTCTATTCCTTGGATTATTTCAATAATATACGAATTACCTTTTTAATGCTTAGAATGCAGTTACAAAATAATCTCAATCTAATACTTCAAAATTTTTAGATTCTAATTGCCTTTCTAATATATCTTTTGGTTATTTGTTATTTGGTGCTTTCAACTGATAGTTCAAAGGCTTTAACACCTATGACATCAAATGAAGATCTCAGGAGGTTTCCTCAAGAAAATTGGTAAAATAAAGGAGAAGGAAGGGCTAAGTCCCACAGGGAAACCACTGTTAGAGAGTTACTTCATTAGCTCACACTGCAAAGAACCACTTTTCAAACATGAATGTGAGTAACCACTGGAAGCAACAAGACAAAAAATACTAAAGGATCCAAATAGTTGAAAACAAAAAACGACCTTAATTTGTCTCTTCTCAAGTGTTCCTCCAACTGATAAAGATAGGGTGAATCAAAATGGTCCTATCCCATTTTTTTTGTCCCTAAATCTGCTTTGCCCCAGTTAGGCTTCATTTTAAAACAAGGTCAGGAAATAAAATAGTACTTTCCTTTGCAGGAGCAATATTTTTAAAAAATATCTCATGCCAGTATTTAGCTCCTAAATATATTTCTGTAAATTTTTCAATAAGCATCTCCTCTCTGTCCTCTATTCCTCACACCGGTTAACTTTTCCTCTTTTCCTTCTCAAAGTCTTTGGTGGCTTTTTTATCAGTCAGCTGAAATATATCCCCTGATGTCAGTTATTTCCCACATCACTGGGTTTATAATTTTATCTTTGCTTCTCTAGCTGACTATTTTCCCAATTCTCCATTAAGCTACACACCCACACCAGGCATGGGCTTCTTTCCATTATGCACTTACAGTTACTTTGAGTCACCAGAATTACCCTCCAAAGAGCATACTAACTCTTCCCAAAATGATTTAATTGCTTCTGATGCAATCTTTGGGCCTCTTCCTATCCTCATCAACATAAAAACTAAATCTGTTGTTGTTTCAGAAAGTAAACCACATTGAGCATGCTGTACCACCAGGAGATGAGATGTAGAACAGTAACTAGATGATAAAGACATTATCATCAAGCTCAAAAATACAATTAAATCACATCAAAGATTATCAGGAACACTGTACCCTGTTCTCCTTCATCTCAGCACACCATAAAAAAAATAGGTCCATGCTTCATGAGAAAAGGGCCTTTGCATTTTGATCTATGTTAAAAGAGATAGACTGCTCAGGCTGATAGGACATAGGTTAGTGGAATTACATTCTAAATTAACATAAATTGCCATGCCAGCTCCCTATGGTGGAATCCAATAAATTGTTTTTTAGAAAATTAAATTTCAATACAGTAGAGAACAATAATCCTTTTTTTTTTTTTTGGAGACGGAGTCTCACTCTGTCACCCAGACTGGAGTGCAGTGCCGCGATCTTGGCTCACTGCAACCTCTGCCTCCTGGGTTCAAGCGATTCTCCTGCCTCAGTCCCCCGAGTAGCTGGGACTACAAGTGCCTGCTGCCACGCCCAGCTAATTTTTTGTATTTTAGTAGAGACGGGGTTTCACCATGTTGGCCAGGCTGGTCTTGAACTCCTGAGCTCAGACAATCCACCCGCCTCGGCCTCCCAAAGTGCTAGGATTACAGGCGTGAGCCACTGCACCCAACAATAATCCAATTTTTGTAATTTATCCTTTAAGTCTAAAAAAAGAGAATTAGAGGTCTTCATGGAAATAGTGTATATTTTCTAGAAAATAAACAAAAAGACCACAATGGAAATCTTTTGAAAAGAGTAACCTACAAGAGGATAGCAAAGTATTTCTCAAGAAGTCTCTAGTATTTAACTATATCTCACCTTTACTGTGATCACTCTGCCCTTCTGCATGTGAATTATGTTTCCTGCACTTGGTACAAATGCTAGAGAGACTTACTGAGTCCAGATATTCAATGTGTTCCTCTACATGACTAAGCTTCCTTTGCGGTGAAATTGAAGCCACGTGACTTGGTTTGATGAATGGGCTGTGAGCTCAAGTGTCACTTCTGAGCTAAGTAAGTCAGAAGCTGGTATGCTTCCTCCATCCATCTCTTCCTATGCTGCTGCAACCTAAAAGGCCACGGGGCAAGAGCTGAGCATCACAAGATTCAGTTCCCTGAGTCACCTCGTGGAGTAAAGCCTCTCCCAACCCGTAGAAGGCTATATATGAGTTAGAAATAAATTTCTGTTGACTAAGTTACTGAGATTTGGGGCTTTAATCACTTGCAGCTAGCATTAATTACCATAAATAATACAATGCATAATCATAAAACATTAGGGCAGTAAGGGACCTGAGAAATTGCCTGTGCCAGTGTGTTTCAAACTTTAGATTGTGTTTTTCAAAGGAAGATTTTCATCAGGTAAAATAAAAAAAAAATTTAGAGATAAAAGTGAAGCTGCTTTCTTAGTCATGGCGGGGGATCTACTAAAGCCCCAGCCTTCTCTCTCCCTCCTACCTTATCTCCACCTTCAGGTACCAAATAGTCTCCAATGTCCACAACTGCATAGGTACACACAGCAAAGCCACTTGCAGGACATGGCTTGAAAGATACTAATCTAGGTCAGCTCCCTCAATTTCTGGAAGTTCTAGGGGCTTACATGTCTTGCCTAGGTAGGTTCTTTTTCACACATAGAAAGCAAAACCAGGGCATTTTTTTTTTCTGTGGGGTGTGTGAGTGTGTGTGTGAGTGTGTGTGTGTGTGTGTGTGTGTGTGTGTGTGTGAATTTTGACAACCCACATCAGGAGATGGAAGTTTGAATGGTGAAGTTTTTGAGAGAGAGTGTTGCAACAATTGCTTGTCGTACTGGAAATCAGTTTGGTCTTATTTTCAAGAGCTGAACAATCACATAGCTCCTGTGATCCAGATATTCCATTCTTAGAAATATATCCCCAAGAGAATCCCTTGCACATGTATAGCAAGACTTATGTTCAAGACTATTTTAGCAGCACTGTTCACCACAGAGTGAACCTATTGTGAACAGTGTTTTTCCTTGGGAGGCTTGATGACTATGATGTGGTATATTTTACCGAAAGTTACATTGAATAAACTAGTAACATGCAAAATATGATGAATCTTAGCTAAGTACTATGAAAAATTAAGTCCCAAAATATTACGTATAGCATAGTATCCTTTTCCATAAACACCAAATAAAGCAAGTATGTGTATATATATGTGTGTACATGTACACAGGTAATATACATAATACTTATACAAGCAATGAAAAAATATTTCACATTTCACATATATCCAAGCAATGAATATATATTACACAAATAGAAAGAAAAACACATTAATGATAAACACAGGAGTCGGGATGATATTGGCCTGGATGAAGGGGGGCAGCAAAATCAGATGAAGGGCATACATATGGCCTAATGTCAGTCATTATTTCCAAGATCTCAGCTTTTACTTTAGTAAAAGGCAAAAGATTTATATGATCTGAAGAGAAACCAGAGTATAGCTTTTACTTTAGATTCTGGATTCATGAGTACTCATTATTTTAGTAGCTATATGTGGATCAACAATGAGCATATGATCTGAACCTAGAATTGTAACACAATTCTAACTGTAATTGAATTATAAGCCTAAAGTCTAAAGAAAAAAACATAATCTTTAAAAACCCAAACAAATTTTAGGACAAAAAATGAAGGAAAAATTTATTTTCTTTTCCTTCTATAAGTACACCAACTACACACTTAGCTACGTTTGGTTTGGATATTGAAGAGAAATCTAGCCATTATCTGCCACCATTGGTAGCTTTTGGAAAGACAAAGAACTATTCTAGGAGAACTAAGACTGCAAATGGTAAATGATGCCTAATTTAAGAATAACAATGGACTACCAAAACCTAAAGAGGAGAAAAGTATATATGACACACTCAATTATGGCTGTTAAAATATACATATACAATACATATACTCACATACCCCTCACCCAAGGAGGAAGATAAAATGGAACCAGAATGGTTTAAAGTAGGCAGCCTTCAAATGCTTCTCACTGATCGCTGCATAGCCTCAATACTAGCACAGCACACTTATACTGATTAGTTTTCTCCCCCAACCAGCTGAGTAATCTTCAGCAAATCATCCAGCCGTTTTCATACTCAGTTTCCTCATCAGCTGTGAGTGTTAGGAAACAAATCAAAGTATTAGTACAGGGTCTGAGACTTAATTGCTTCTTGGAAAATGTTGATTAAATTTTAATCTCAAAGTAGATAGTAAGGAAAAGAAGACTTTTGTGATGTATCTTCAGTGATGTTTTAAGCAAGCTACATTGTGTACTAGAGATTTAAGCCCTTTAAAAAACGAACAGTTTAGCCTCACTCCTATCTCCTTTCTTAAACCTGTTCACCCAGAAACATAGCAAAAGCACATGTATACACGTTGGTAATATAAATGGATAGTTTCTAAACAAATGCTAATGTATAGTTCTAAACTATACAAATAGGTTTCCAATGTATAAACTATACAGTAGGCTTTCCATTTATGAATCAGTGTTCATTTATAGAATATCTGAGTTTTCAGAATAATTGTTTTGTTTTATTTGACACTGTTATAATTAAGGTGATGAATTTCATCATTTTTAACGCTAAAGTTCCATTAAAACATTTACTAAAATTAGGGAATTTTTAAACCATGGAAACTTAATTGCATTAATTGTCCTTTCTCACCCTCAAATGTTTTATAATGAAACTAAATAATGGATGCAATAATGAAGCAAAGGACAAGTTGGATTTGCATATTTTATAAACATGCTCAGGACAGTGACTGTGCTACTTTGCCTCAAATGGTAGTTAGGTTAATCATGTGTTTATGAAAGAGAAAGCACAATTTCCTCAGGCCACAGAGGTGCTCAGAGAGGTGACTTTGAAATGATGTCCTCCTAGATGTCTTCCTTTGCTCTCATATGGGAGATGAGAAAACAAAACTTTCAAAAGAATATTCATGTTCACAGAAAGGATAACTGTGAAACTGTTAAAGCAGTTTCCCATAGCCCCCAAAACAGGACATAAATATGTTTAATTTACTGAGTACTAAAGGAGATAGATACAGAAAATCCTCTCTGAGCTCTAACTCATAACACATACTGAACTTGCTTAACCAAATGAAGAGTATCTTCAAAAGGATTTAAAGAGGCCATTCCCTTTGATCAGGTTTTGCTCCCTAAGTCAGTTCCAGGGAGGCCCACAACTCTCTAGTTGGCAGCCATCCTGCTCTGCTCCCTAAATGTTTCCCCGAGAGTAAGCAGAATCCTGTCACTAGCTACTCTGCCTCACTCCCCTCTTCTCCACTCTCCACCTCCCGTTTACACACATATACCTGAGTATGCAGATTCTCAACAACCGTGAAGGAAGCAGCACAGTGTATTTTTGGAACAATGTCCTTCCAAACAGTGTCTTATTGGGTGAAGGATCTATGAACAAAGAAATACCCCAATTCATTTGGAATATGTTTTGCTTGATATACTGCATTAGTTCAATATAATGGGATAACAAGGCCCTTGAGAACAAAGAAAAATGGCACATGAGCAAAGAAGAATATACTACATGAAATCCTAACAGAATCGTAAAGTTAAAAGGAAACTGTGCATGTCTGTCTCAGTCCAACCTGCATCTGAGAAGAAAAATTTACCATCGCACATCGCACAAGGTCAGTCTTCTCTGTTTATTGGAAATTCTGATCTTACATGGTTTGAGGATGAGAGACAGAAAAAAATACATATGACTTATGAAAAACATTGTCAAATAAGGTTAAGATTCAGAAGATAAATGATATGTCTGAAAATAATCTAGAGTAGGATTCAGAAGAAAACTTCCAGGAACAGTTTGGTATCCTCAATAAAGTTCAAACAATATGGTTGCTATGAAATAAAAGGAGACTGTTATAAATAACTAGGTGAGGAAAAAATCAAATGAATGATATAAGGATGAATTGCTAACCAAAAAAAAAAAGCTAGAGCCAAGTTAAAATTCATGTTGAAGGCTACAGCAAGAAGTGTTGATTCTAAGGAATGGTAAATGAATGAAGTATATATAAAAGAAAAGCTCAAGTGTCATCTCAGAACTCAAAAGAATGGGACAAAACTAAAATAATGCAAGAGAAGATGACTGATACAGAGGATAGGGAACAGAGAAGAAAAATGGAAACAAGTAGTTTTCTTAAAGATAAGAAGAATTAGAACAAAAGCAATCAAAGATAAAGCACACTCAATATTTTTGGAGCAAATTGCAAAGTCTCATTGTGTTCTCATTGTGGTTAATCTTAATTGATTAAAATATGCCCATTGGTAAAATTTTAAACTATAACAATGGAGAAAATTCTGATTTTTTTTCACTATAAGAATAAAAGTGCAAAACAATACTGTATATATCTGTTCAGGAAAAAGAAAGCGGTTTCCCACAAAAGACCAAAACTAAGTTGGCTTCAGACTTTTTTCACCATATTATAAAACAGAGTCAAGGGAGAAACATGTAAATGATCAGGAGAGAGTGTTATGGTCCTATTGAAAAACAAAAAACAAAAGCTGTCTTTTTTGTGAATCAAGGCAAAATACATCCTTAGATATATATGAGTGATCAGAATATGTTATTTGTATGTTAATATACCTGAAGAGGTATCCAGTTGACCAAGATGTAAAACATAATCAAATACGCAAAGTTGCCTATCACCTTAATAAAAGGAGTGTTGCAAGCAGTAAAACCAGTTTTAAAATCCAAGAGACTAAATTATTTTTGTATCTGTTAAAACAAGAAACAATAGGCCGGGCGCGGTGGCTCACGCCTGTAATCCCAGCACTTTGGGAGGCCGAGGCGGGCGGATCACGAGGTCAGGAGATCGAGACCATCCCGGCTAAAACGGTGAAACCCCGTCTCTACTAAAAATACAAAAAATTAGCCGGGCGTAGTGGCGGGCGCCTGTAGTCCCAGCTACTTGGGAGGCTGAGGCAGGAGAATGGCGTGAACCCGGGAGGCGGAGCTTGCAGTGAGCCGAGATCCCGCCACTGCACTCCAGCCTGGGCGACAGAGCGAGACTCCGTCTCAAAAAAAAAAAAACAAGAAACAATATAAAAAATTACCTCTGAAAATCAGTAATAAGCATTATTTCTCTCAAAACCACCCTCCTGCTTCCATGATCAGCACCACTAATCAATCACGGACCTCTTTACTGCTGACATCTTAGGAAAACCCAGAATTCTGAGTATAGTGTTCCATGCCATCATTATCAATAAATTGGAATTGGACTTTGAGATAAAACTTTTTGACACCGCAAAGTTAAAGAACAATACTTTTTAAGCTAGAGAAGACAATTCAATGGGGATTATTTATTTAAAAGTTTAAAAAAAGAGATCATCAAAAGATGACAATAGGAAAGATTTGGAAAAACTTTTGGTTAAGCCTGATATATTGCGAAGTACTCATTATCGTGGACACAGGTATATGTTCTCATACATACATAAAAAGACCCGCTTGTAAAGAGGAAGTTATAAGCCTGGAGTACATGTGGACAGACTGGAAGGCAAAACGCAAACCTTAAAATATTACTGATGGTTACCAGTGATTATTTAGTTTTTATTTTTTAATGTTATGTTTATAATTTAGAAAGGTAGAGAAGAAAGTACTATATGATTTAAGATGGACCATTAATTTTTATACATTTTATAACACTAATTTAGAATTAAATTTAATGTTATAAATTGTGGAGTAAATAGGACTCATGACCTGTTCTCATCCTATTTCTAATTCAGACGAGACCATTAATCCTCTATTCAATGACGCCTCTTGCCTGAATAATTTACTCCTATGTGCCACATTCTATTTCAACTCGAAACAATCAAAGTGAAGCCAAGTCACAGATTCTCAGGCCCAAACAGTGGGACAGGGACACTGGGATTCCCATAATTTTTGCAATATTAGTTATCTTGAGAATATCAATACTGGCCTCAAAAGTTAAAAAAATCAGTAGATTAAAAGTATATTTTTAAAATGAATTCAACGCTTTGAATTCAATTCATTTAAACTGATTTTTGCCAAGTCAGATGCTAATAGCCTCCAATCCAATTATCCCACAGATCTGTCTACCTGTAACAGCCTAATGCCAAGTAGAAGGTTTTAACAGAAAAAAAAAACAAGGCATTTTATGGGAAGACAGAAATTGAAGAAAAGGATAGAAGTGATTAAGTCATCTAGTGATGGACATAGTTTTGGAGGATTTACCTTTCCTAATTACATAAAATTCAGCCACCCAGCACAGCCTAAATTTTCCCTTAATTGGCTGTCATAGTTTTCATACTGTCACTGGCAAACTTAATTTACACTTGGGTTAGAAAAATCTTAGAAGTAAAAGATAAGTAAATGTGGCCATGGTGATCACTATCAGCATAAATGATCACAGTATCATCTACCATCATGTAAACACACTTAAAATCAAAGAACAAAATTTTTCCCAGGAACTTTAAAATAAGAAAACTGGCTAGCCATATGTAGAAAGCTGAAACTGGATCCCTTCCTTACACCTTATACAAAAATCAATTCAAGATGGATTAAAGACTTAAACGTTAGACCTAAAACCATAAAAACCCTAGAAGAAAACCTAGGCATTACCATTCAGGACATAGGCATGGGCAAGGACTTCATGTCCAAAACACCAAAAGCAATGGCAACAAAAGCCAAAATTGACAAATGGGATCTAATTAAACTAAAGAGCTTCTGCACAGCAAAAGAAACTACCATCAGAGTGAACAGGCAACCTACAACATGGGAGAAAATTTTCGCAACCTACTCATCTGACAAAGGGCTAATATCCAGAATCTACAATGAACTCAAACAAATTTACAAGAAAAAAACAAACAACCCCATCAAAAAGTGGGCGAAGGACATGAACAGACACTTCTCAAAAGAAGACATTTATGCAGCCAAAAAACACATGAAAAAATGCTCATCATCACTGGCCATCAGAGAAATGCAAATCAAAACCACTATGAGATATCATCTCACACCAGTTAGAATGGCAATCATTAAGAAGTCAGGAAACAACAGGTGCTGGAGAGGACGTGGAGAAATAGGAACACTTTTACACTGTTGGTGGGACTGTAAACTAGTTCAACCATTGTGGAAGTCAGTGTGGCAATTCCTCAGGGATCTAGAACTGGAAATACCATTTGACCCAGCCATCCCATTACTGGGTATATACCCAAATGACTATAAATCATGCTGCTATAAAGACACATGCACACGTATGTTTATTGCGGCAGTATTCACAATAGCAAAGACTTGGAACCAACCCAAATGTCCAACAATGATAGACTGGATTAAGAAAATGTGGCACATATACACCATGGAATACTATGCAGCCATAAAAAATGATGAGTTCATGTCCTTTGTAGGGACATGGATGAAATTAGAAATCATCATTCTCAGTAAACTATCGCAAGAACAAAAAACCAAACACCGCATATTCTCACTCATAGGTGGGAATTGAACAATGAGATCACATGGACACATGAAGGGGAATATCACACTCTGGGGACTGTGGTGGGGTGGGGGGAGCGGGGAGGGATAGCATTGGGAGATATACCTAAGGCTAGATGACGAGTTAGTGGGTGCAGTGCACCAGCATGGCACATGTATACATATGTAACTAACCTGCACAATGTGCACATGTACCCTAAAACTTAAAGTATAATAAAAAAAAGAAAGAAAGAAAAAAAAAAAGAATATCACTACCCCTTGGGTCTATCATTGTCAGTATCTCAGAAATGAAGAATCCTGCTTATCCTTTATAATCTAATACTTATCCTTAATCTAAACTTATCCTTTATAATCCTGTGTTATAAATAAATACATTTAAAGGACAAAATTAATTACTAATATATCTCAAAAGAAATAATACAATCTCTTAGTTGTAGGTCAAGCTCCTTAACTTCTATTGTGTGTTTGAGCCATTTCTCACCTTTAGGTCTATTCGTTTTAACAGTTTGGAGTATTTATCTAATAGACCTGGCATTCAAACCAAGCAAAAAAAGAAAGGCTTCTGTTACGTGTGTTCCAGCTGTACAATGCATCTAGTGCAGGCTTAAGTCCATTTCTAGGGTTTGTTTCTGTTTCAGCCTCTCCTTCCATACTCTTGTTTCTGGCTCTAAACTGGAGACTTATTTCTCTTTGTCCCATTTTCACCACATTGCCATATTTTCAAAGGTCCAGTTGCTTGTTTTTCTTATTAGTACCACAACAGTAATTAGACTTTTCCCAATAATTAAACCTGAACAAAATAAGGTTTCCTTTGTTTTCTTTAAAAAATTGTACGTAAATTTTAATATGTATTTGAAATATATTAACATCTATAATACACATATATTTTAAATACATACTAATATTTACATCTAATTTTTTAAACAAAGCAAATACATATGAACCTGGTACTCTGATATGTCCTAAATCAAATAATCACAAACAGAATTTTTTAAGGAAAAACTTTTAGAATTTTCACACATTTGAAAGAATTTCAGGAACTTATGTATGAAAAACAAGAACATGCAAGATAGTTAATATAAAGATAAAAGTAAGAGTCTTTTAGGAATAAGGAGAAAATAACCAGGCCAGGGGAGATATAATTATTGTATCTGAATACTAAGTTAAAAACTGAGAGCTCCTAGATAATAAAAGCAAAAAAGAAAATGTTAAAAAAAAAAAGCAGGGATCTTAGTAGATAATAAAAGAGAATAAGCTAGTAATTCAGGAGATAGACACATTTTCCAGAAATTAAAATTCCAGAAGAAATCATTATCATATGACTCTCTATGAAACTGAACACTGAGTAACATAATGGAAAATATCTTTGCCTAAAGTTCTGAAAAGTAATCAAATTTGTTTTAATTTTTAGTACAATCATAAATTTTATAGCTTTACTGCTTCCATCCTTTAATTTAACCTAACTAATTAATCAACACAATTATTTAAATAAGCAAATTAAGTTAATTTCTCTTTGAACTATTTTACTGTTAAATTCAGAAACAATCTAATGTTTTTAAAATAGTAGAATCATTAGATAATATGCCATGAAAGTAATAATTTATTGCTATAATTGTCTTTTATTTTTGAAAGCAAAACGCTTTTAAAGAGAAAATATAAATGACAAATTTTATGTGTAAAAGAAAAACATGATACAAACCTTACATCATAAGAATCCAAAAGCCACTATTAAAAAATCATGTATGTGATTGACAACATTCTGAACTTTCTCAACTTCTAATAAAATTATGAAGAAGTCATAATCTGAAAATCATGAATACATACTTTCCAAGTAAGGGGCTGAGTGAGAAAGCTCAACTTATATATCAGAAATGGAGAAACATAAAGCATATTAGTGTAACTGCAATTTCAGGCACAATTTTAGTTCTGTGTTTCAATAAAAATTTTCCAACTTTTCCCAGTTACTGATATTACTGCATTTTTCCCAGAAGCAGACTACATCATAATAAAACTATTTTATTTCAAAAAATTAGATAGATGGTTAAAAGTTATACATTTTAAACTGTCTGCTTTTAAAATCTGTTTGGTTGACAATATTTTTAAATTTGAAATGCAGTTGTGAAACTTAGTTTCCTTTTATTATTTTCATAAATGTAATATTCAAGACTTTCTTTTCTACTCTACATGCTGTTACATAAATCTATTGTTTACTTCATGTAACAGAACCTCAAAAGTAAATGAGATATTCTTCACTTTTGAGACTTATATTAAAAAGGGAGTCTATATTTACTACTTTTTCAGTTGAAAGAGAATTTGATTCTAATAATTGAAATGACATCTCAAGACTGAAATTTTATTGTTCCTTAATACCTGAACACCAAATCTATGTCATTGTTTTTCATAATTCACCAAATTATAAGCATTCATCAATGGGAATTCAATTAAAGCTTGGAACTTTATCATCATCTCCTTCTTCTTTCATCATCATCATCATCATCATCATCATCATCATCATCGTCATCATCATCAATCATTGTTTGGCACACAGTAGGCACTCAAATGTTTACTGAATGAAGGAATGAATCAACATATATTCACCTTCTATGTTCCAACATATATTCACCTACTATATATATATACACTCATATATACTCTTCATGTTTACCTTACATGTATATGTTTAATGTTTACTCTTCACTGCAACCTTGCTATTTAGGAATTATAATCCTTCTTTACAGGTAAGGAAAGGGTACATGGGCTTAATTCAGAAATAATATCATACAGCTAAGAGTGAAAGAACTAGGTTTCATACTTTTTTTCTGATTTCAAATTTTATTACTTTTCCACTAAGCCTGCTACGAAAAGCATTAAGGTACTTATGGTAATTACTCAATTCAATTAAAAATTCTGTCAAGTGCAAGGCACAATGATGGTGCTCTGGAGGACAGAAAAATGAACAGACATAGGCTCTGTCTTCAAGGAATTTATAATCTACTGAGAAAACAAGTTGTATGGGCAACTAATGATGTTTTTAAGGTGGAAGCCAGAAGGGGGTAAGAGTAAGAGTACAACAGTACGGGGTACTTTAGGGCATGAGTAAAGGAGAAAGTCACTTCTTTAAGCAAGCGGATCTAGGGATGCTTTATGAATAAAAAGGAATTTGAACTAGGTGTTGAAGAGTAAATACAACTTGACAGGTTATATTTTTAGTAGCGAGAACAGCAAAAACAAAAGTAAGTAGATAGGAAAACACTGGCACTCACTCATTCCTTCATTCTTTCATTCGCTCATTAACTGTTATAAATATCAGGCATAGAGCAAGTTGGTCAAAGTCCCTGCCTAAAAGAGTGTACATTTTAGAGGTGAACCAAGTAAGATACTAGAAAAACATAAATGATTAAAACTTTTCAGACAGTAATAAGAATTACGAGTGAATTAAAATAGTCTTTTGGACTGAGTGGTCAAGAAAATAAACAGCTTAATCAAAAGACACAGAAGTATTTTGCTATTTAATCCACTACATGAAAAAAATCAAAGGGTAATCCACAAAAATTAGATACTCATTTGTTATTTGACCTATCAATATTTCTTTTTTTTTTTTTTTTTTTTTGAGACGGAGTCTCGCTGTGTTGCCCAGGCTGGAGTGCAGTGGCGCAATCTCAGCTCACTGCAAGCTCCACCTCCTGGGTTCAAGGGATTCTCCTGCCTCAGCCTCCCAAGTAGCTGGGACTACAGGTGCCCGCCACCATGCCCGGTTGATTTTTTGTATTTTTAGTAGAGATGGGATTCACCGTGTTAGCCAGGATGGTCTCGATCTCCTGACCTTGTGATCCGCCTGCCTCATCCTCCCAAATTGCTGGGATTACAGGCATGAGCTACTGCATCCAGCCAATATTTCTTTACATGACAGTTGCTTAATAACTTTTATTATTAACAATAGTGGCAACAATAAAATTGGCATAATCAGAATAAATACAGCTACTATAAAACATTATGCACCTATTTTAAAAAATGAATTAGATCTCTCTTTTTACTGACCTCAAGTGATGGTTATGACACATTGTTAAAATAAATGGCAAGTTGCAAAATCATATGCATAATATGATAGAATTGAGGAAAAACAATTATATCAAATGTTGTGAAGGTATAGGAAATAATCACTTTTAAAGAACTGTTGTTAGAATATAAATCGATATACTGTACTGCAGAGAATTTGCCAGTATCTATCAATTCTAAAAATGCTCATATAATGTGATTCAATATTGAAAAAAATAAAACACTCTAAAGGAGTATATGTACTCTGCATTTTAAGAACATTTAATCTAAGGTTTCCTTTAGGTTAAAATGTATTTTTTTTAATTAAATGTATTTGTATACTAACCTACAAGAAAACAGGAATGCTTTCTCTTCTTTCGACCTGGTATTTCCCACTCTGCTCTTCTTCTAATCCCTGACTCACTGTTTCTTCTGTGAGATCTTTGGGGATTTTAGTCCCGGATAGTTCTTTGTTTTCAATAAACCACAGTTGTATGAATTTCACTACATGCTTTATTGATTTATTTGCTCACTAATCTATGTCCCTCTTCAATTCATTTTGTTTTGCCAAAGGACAAGCTTAAATATTCATTTTACAGAATACGTGGATGATTATCTTTCTGAATTTTGGCATGTTTGTTAAGTCTTACTCTATATTCATACTTAAATGCTAATGTAGCTGGCTATAAGGATTTAGGTTCAAAATCAATTCCCTCAGAATCTGAAATTTTGTCCCTTTTAGAATCTCTTTTTGGTAAGTCTTATAAAAATTTGATTTTCTTTTTTTTTCTTTGTAGATAACTTGGATTTTTTTCTTTATCCT
Organism: Homo sapiens; assembly: GCF_000001405.40. Lineage (NCBI taxonomy): Eukaryota > Metazoa > Chordata > Mammalia > Primates > Hominidae > Homo > Homo sapiens. The sequence continues at coordinate 114,225,652 of NC_000005.10, read as the reverse complement.
TGGTGTTCTCAAAATTTGCCTTTTTATGCTTAGACTCATTCATTCATTTGATAAATATTTATTGAGCACCTACTATGTATCAAGCACTGTTCTGTGTGCTAGAGATATATCATTGAACACAACAAACAAATATATGTGTCTTTTGTTACTTAATCCACTGGTGACTTGTAATTGGTGTTTCACTCTGAAAATATTTTATAAATAATTGCTGTGATTATTTCTTCTATTCCACCTTTTCTGTTCTATGTGCTTAGAATGCTTAGAAAACAGACACACTGCACCTTCTTGATGCTTCTTCTATATAATATAAATTTTCCGTCATTTTTAATATCTGTCTTAGTCTCCATAATGGAGAAACCTTTGACTTGCTACTCATCAGTTGTGTCTATTTTTGGATTTAAGAGAATTAATTAGATCTTTAAATTAATTAATGAGATCTTTAAATTTCTACCACCATATTTAAATTACAAAGTTACCTACATTCTTCACATAATGCCTTACTTTTTATAGATACTACATCCTTTCTTTGATATCAATTAAAGCTTTTAAAATACTTTGTATTTAGTCAAATAACCTTTTCAGGTATAAAGTCTTCTATTTGTTGAATTTGATTACTGTTCCTTATAGGGATAGATTTTCTCAGGCAATTCTTGCTTGTCTGGTCATCTTTCTGTTCCTGCATCACTGTTTTACTATCTAGAATTAGAAAGTTTTACTATCTAGAATCTATAAGAAACTCAAACAATTGAACAAGCAAAAAACAACCCCATCAAAAAATGGGCGAAAGACATGAACAGACACCCTGGATGTCACAGCATTCTAAGGAGCTAACTCATCAGGACTCAAAGCCTACACTCTTCACTTTATCTTGATGGCAAGCTGTAACAGCCCATGGCTCAGCACAACCGGAGAAGAAAGGGGAGGCTGACTGGTTCTCAGGCTCAGAAAATAATTACACTACTACTGAGCCCAATGTTCCAGAAACCTCACCTGCCTTGAATTCATTGACTTTGGGCTTAGAGCTCTCCAGAGATCACTCCCACACCTCCAGCGGGATTCTGTTTTCTTTTGTGCTCTGCCTTTTCTATAGTGTTCTTCTGCATGAAGCAAATCCATGTTCTTTTCCCTAATTATTCCTGTCATGAATTAGTTTTCATTACATAATTAAGATTTAGAATCTAAAAAATATATTTAAGCTATCTTAAAAGACTTGTGGAAAATACATGCATATGTTTAGCTATCAACCTTTATTCAACTACTTTCTTTTCACACTCCATTAATTCAGCAAGAAAAAATATTTTCTAAAAAATGGTTACTTTTATCTAAAATATGGAAAACCAAAAGTATTGAACATATCTCTGATGAAATAATAATAGAGAAGGCAAGCAAAACAAGTAAGTTTTATTTTGTTTTTCCCCATATTCATTGTTAAGCTATCGTCTCTTAGATTCAAATCCATTTTTCCTTATTTTACCTTTTGGGCTGGGACTCTGAAAACCACAGTTCTGTGGTCAGCTGAATTACTATTAGGCTCTACCAAAAGGGGGCACCAGAGAGAGATATTAAAATGCTAGAAGAGAGAGAAAGAATACTTTCCCTCTAGGCTGTTTCCTGTTCCTGTTTTGTTTCCTGTTCTCAGCATCACTGAACACTGTTTCACCCTGGTAGTAGCTAGTTGTTCCAATAGTACAACTGATTCTAGTTTGCATTTTTTTCAACAACCATAGAACCAACATTGTTCTGCCCCCTCACAGGCCCCAGGTGCTGCCAAATGGGGCCCCCTTCTTCAAAGGTTTGGGTCCTAGCCCCACACAGCCCTTCTGTTGCATTCCTGAGGCAGCATCACAACTCAGCAACACCCCTTCCTCAGAAGTTCGTCTTAGTTCATTGAGTCCTTCATCCAAGCTTCTAAACTTTAAAAACCAACCCTAGCCTCATCCTTTTATTCCCCAGCCTTATAGATGCTCTGTGAAAAATGTAGTGTTGTCTTTTTTCAGGTTGTCAATTCCTGGCTGACAATTCTTTGTATTAAATTCTCTTGTAAAAACAATTGCTGTGATTTCTATCGCCTAACTGGACTCTGAAAAATACACTTCCCTGTCTATTTTGGCTGTCTGTGCATGTCCAAGGAGACTCCTGTCTTAATTTCAAAACCATTAATTTTATTAAATGTGAAAATGATCATCATATATTATTTATATATTTTACTGAAATGTTTTCAAATATGGCTAAAGAAAAACAGATATGGGTCTCCTTCTTGGTCATAATCTCAAAGCAGTTCAAGATGACTTTGAAAGGGAAAATAAGCATTTCCAAAAGATTTTTCTCCAAACAAGTTTTTCTGAAGCTGCGAAGAATCAGAATCCTCACTGTATGTCTTTGGAAATCATTTCATTCCAGTAGACTAATTAATTATGGGTTACTTTTCCATGCAGACCTTCAAAACTGTTAGTGTCAAACGATGGATGCTATCAATTGACATGTATTTGTGCCCAGGTATTGATATTTCTTTAACTCTTGACCTAAATTATATATCTTCTTTTAAACATGTAGTGCAAGAACACAAAAAAATATTTATTAGGTTTACATTTTGTCTTGTAGAAAATCAATGAATGCTACTGACTGTTAGTAGTCAGAAAGATGGACAGCATGAAAGCAGAAGAGACCTCAATAGAGATTATGAGAGATGGCATTCATCTGCTGCCCTAAGATTAAGCGTTTAAATATAAACAAATACATTCTGTGGCAGCTCACTCACAGCAAGTAGTCACACCACCAGTTTCAATAATCAAAGACTGCAGATGAAAAGGTAACACAGCATACACAGAACCTGGACTTTTTAAACAGCTGACTTATTAGGAAGTACCAAGTGAAGGCCTATTTTGAGACCAAGATCACCTTTCACCAAAAGTCTAACTTTTAACATTAATGTCTCATTCAGCTTCTTTTTTTTAATCACTGTCTTATGGTAAAAACAAACAAGGGATATGATTCCCTGCGCTGAAATTGTGCCATACCCACAGCTTAATTGAGGAAGAATTGACATTCCCATCCGATAATATAGTACAGTTCGCAAATTTTCAAATCAACTTATTTGCACACTGAGATACATGAAAAATGCAGTTTGCCATTCTTGAGCACTGTCATTCACATATCAATCCCCTAATGACTTCATGGTCTCAGAATCAAATATAGCCCTAAAGTATTTTGGGGAAGGCCCTCAAATACTTAGTTCAATTTTTTGATATTCATTGCCTGTCCATGTAGCCCTTTCTGGTATGGTAGTTCTAGGCAACAGTCATATCAAAAAAATATCTTTGAGGCTGCCTTTGGTATGGTGTGCCTAACGATACCATGCAAATATTGTTTACTAGGGTCTTACAGCTTCCTGCTGAGAGGACCCTGCTTACGTTCTTAGATTTTCTCTGATCCCCCTCATTTACTCCCCTTTTTATTCCTTGCTTAATTTTTTGAAAGGAACTACAGGAGACCTTGCAAACTATTTTTGCATTCTGCTTTGGATATACTTTCACTGAAGCATTAAATGTTTATCTGGCAACTAGACAATGAGGCATATAAGTAAAAGAAAAATAAATCTCAAACATATTATCTAGCCATGCACTTTAACTTGTTTTAACCTCAACTTCTTGGTGAATTAGTAAGGTGTATTTCATCATCCTCAGTTTCAATGAGAAAACAGGGTCGAAAGAAGCTATAGTATTTTGTTCCAGAACAAAGATTAATTAAAAGTAGAGCTAAAACTACAGCATATTTTCTGATACTTAATCTCACCAAAATGCTATCTCTCATCAAAAACTATTCTTAAAATTCAAATGAAAATACATTTGTTTACTGGAGAAATATTTTTGTGTGCCTATTATGTTTTCTTAATGCAGTGGTGGTGGGCTAGTGAGAGAAATAGGCAGGTAATACATAAAAAAGAATGAATCACTAAATTGAAAATAGTTTAAACTATAGGCAGATAGTTTAGTTGAAATAAATTCAGCTGACCTAACTTTTGTTTTCAATAAAATCACTTATTTATATTAGAACTAAATGTACATATTTTACTACTATTTTTACTCACTGTTATTGCTTATATCCCACTCCATTCCTTAGATTCATTTTTCCTCTTGCTGGAGTCCATCCTTTTGTAGTTCTCTCAGCAAGAATCTGTAAGAGGTAAATTCTATTAGTCTTTGTTCAAAATTTGTTTCATTCTCTCTTTTAAATAATAGCTTTGTATTGTATAATCTGAGGTTGAGTTTTTTCCTTGGCATTTAAAAATTTTATTCTATTACCTCCTAGCATATATTGTCAGTAATAAAAACATCTACAGTCAGCTTAATTATTGCTATTTTGTAGAAAATCTTTAAAACAATTCCTAGATTCTATCACTTTGCACCTAGGGCCTATCCATGTGCACTTGTGTAATTCTTGCCCTGTACAAAGGAATACAGCTAAGCAAGCAAGTGGGGGCTGAAAACCAGGCCATGGGACACTCACTCAAGTCATGAAATTAAAGAACAGCATCTGCCAGAGGGCACTGTTTTCTGTCTCACATAAACGTGTCATATAGGATAGTGGTGATATTATAATGCATACAGAGTTGAATTTATTTTTACTAGCATATTTACTACTTGGGTCACTGTATGAGAACTGTCTTCCTTCAATTCAGAAGAAATTCTCATTAATTCTTCAAATCTTGCCTCTTTCCATTGTTACATTTCTTATTTGAACATATACCAGGAATATGTTGGAACTTTTCGACCTATCTTCTGATCTGAGTCTTTAACTTGACTTTAACTTTTTTTTTTTTTTTTTTTTGAGATGGAGTCTAGCTCTGTCAGGCAGGCTAGAGTGCAGTGGCACGATCTCAGCTGACTGCAACCTCCACCTCCTGGGTTCAAGCAATTCTCCTGCCTCAGCCTCAGTGTTTTGCTCTGTGTCTTGCTATTTATTATCTCTTTAGCCATGTTCACTTGTTAATTTTAAAATGACCATAATTTTCAATGCCAGGATTTCTAATTGGCTCCTTTTCTGCTAATCCTCGTATTAAGTCTCATTTGTCTGTTTGTATTTCATAATTCCTTTCTCTTTTTTTAAAAAACATTTCTGTATCCCTTTCAGAATTTTAAAAATACTTATTTTACAAATAGTTTTTGAAAAACTGCTTTAGTATTTGTATTTCTTTGGATAATTTACTTGATTATTGAGTTTATTGGCCCTATTTCATAAAATTTGGCTTTAATCTTCTTGGGTTAGATTTTTTCCTCTCTCCTGCCCACTACCATGGTAAAGTAGCATTTAGATACTTTAAATATATGTTTTTAAATATTTTTTCCAGCATTGCTATCTTGAAAGTGTTGAAGGAGGTGTTTATTAATATATCAATTGGCAATACCATTTTAATTAGAAGTTTGAAATACACATTTCTAATGTATTATTTGTTAAGCCAAGAAGAGGTCCTAAGATATGTTATAGGTTTGGCTTGCAACATTAGCATTCAGAACTTTGTTTTACACGGCCAGTTTTTCTAATTACACAGTCCGAAGAGTAGCCAACTATATGACCTGTAGGCCTAATCCAACCTGCTACCTGTTTTTTTCTTAAGGTCTGTAAACTAAAAATTATTTCTAAATTTTTTAATGATTGCTTAAGAAATATAGAATAATATGCAACAAAGACAATTTTTGACCCACAAAGCCTAAAACTTTTACTGTCTGGCCCTCACAGAAAAAGTATGCTGATGCTTAACATACAGTTTATCTATAGATGCTATCCCAATTATTTTTATTTTTTGATTATTTTTGATAGACTTTAAAGATTAATTTTAGATTTGCAGTAAAACTGATAGGAAGGTGATAGGGACAAGGGCAGAGAAATTCTAGGCAGAAAAGGGCAGATCCCTGGCAAAACCCCACCCTCAAGCCAAAAAACCTGCAACCACAGCCCGAAGTGAGAACTTATATCCCTGATTTCCTGCTTGAATGTTACATCTTCCTAAAGCACATATGGCCCCTCCCTGCCCCATCCTGTGCCTATAAAAACCCCAGACTCAGCTGGTAGATGAGATTACAGCTGGACATTGGAGAGAAGCAACCTGACTTCAGAGGGACACCTTGACAGTTTAACTTCAAAGAAGAATCTGGCCAGAGACAGGTGGACTTCAGGTGAGGATTACCTACCCACCCCGTACCCTTTTCAGCTCCCCTTCCTGCGGAGAGCCACTTTCATTGGCAATAAAATCCCCCACATTTACCGTCCTTCAATTTGTTTGGGTGACCTCATTTTTCCTGGATACCAGACAAGAGCTTGGGAGCCATGAGTGCAGATACAAAAGGCTGTCACACTGACCCTTTGTCCTTGCTGGCGGAGGGCAGCCACCTCACACAAAAAGGCAAACAGCCTACTAAGCTTTTAACATTTAAGTCAGCCATGGATGGCAGAGCTAAAATAGCACTGTAACACATGCCCTCTGGGGCTTCAAGAGTCACAGGCACCCCTGCCTGGATGCTGCTGCAGGGCCTGCAAAGAGTTCACTCCCGCTGGTGCCCAAAAGCAGCTGGCTGAATCCCATACTCGCTTACCTACTTGCTCCCTCCCACAAGGAGTTGAGTGTGGTGAGCCAAGTAAATGGAGTTTGTTCCTGCCAGTTCCCAAAAGTGCTTGCTCTGGTTCCTGCACTTCTTTGCTCACATGCTCCTTCCCATGAGGAGTTGAGAGTGGTAGGCTGAGTGAACAAGGTACCATGCCACAAGTCCCATGAAGGTGTCAGAGAAATATCGTGCTTCAAAGGTACTGAGACTTCCCATGTACACCTAGCCCCACATGTGCATAGCCTCCCCGATTTCAGCATCCCACACAAGAGTGGTATATTAGTTACAATTGATGAGCCCACACTGAAACATCATTATCACCCGAAGTCCATAGTTTACATTAGTATTTACTCTTGGTATGTACATTCTATGGTTTTGAACAAACGTATAATGACATATGCCCACCATTAAACAGAGTAATTCACTGCCCTGAAAATCCCCTGTGCTCTAACTATTCATCTGTCCCTTGTGCCAACCCTGAAAATCACTGACCTTTTTGCTGTCTACATAATTTTACCTTTTCCATAATGTCACATAGCTAGAATCATACAGTATGTAGCCTTTGAAGATGGATTCTTCAGTTTAGTAATATGCATTTTAAGTTTTCTCCACCTCCTTTCATGGCTTGATAGCTCATTTCTTTGTGGTACTGAATAATATTCCATTGTCTGGATATACCATAGTTTATTTATCCATTCACCTGCTGAAGGATATCTTTGTTGCTTCCAAGTTTGGGCAATTATGAACGAATAAAGCTGCTATAAACATCCATGTGCAGGTTTTTGTGTGAACAGAACTTTTCTATTCCTTTGGGTAAATATCAAGAAGCACAACTACTATGTAATATAGGAAGACTATGTTTAGTTTTGTAAGAAGCCAGTAAACTGTCTTCCAAAGCAGCTGTACCATTTTGTATTCCCACTAGCAATGAATGTTGCTCCATATCCTTGTCAGCATTTGGTATTGTCAGCATTCTGGATTTTAACAATTTCAGTACTTGTGTAGTGGTATGTCATTGTTGCTTTAATTTGCATTTCCCTTATGATACATGATATGAAGAATCTTTTTAAATGCTAATTTGCCATCTGTATCTTCATTGGTGAAGTAATGTTCAGATCTTTTGCCCATTTTTTTAATTTGGTCATTTTCTTATTGTTGAATTTTAAGTTCTTTGTATGTTTTGGATAACAGGCCTTTATCAGATGTGTCTTTTAAAAATGTTTTTTCCAGTCTGGGCTTCTCTTTTTCTTCTTTTGACAGTGTCATTTTCAGAGCAGAAATTTTTAATTTTAATGAAGTCCAGCTTATCAATTCTTTCTTTCATGGATCACGCCTTTAGTGTTGTACCTAAAAAGCCATGACCACACCCAAGGTCATAAAAGATTTGTCCTATGTCATCTCCTACAAGTTTTATACTTTCGTGTTAACATTTAGACAGGTGATTCATTTTAAGTTAATTTAGGTAAACCATATAAAGTCTGTGTCTAGATTCCTTTTTTTTGTATGTGAATGTCCAGTTGCTACAGCACCACTTGTTGAAAGGCTATCTTCACTCCATTCTATTGTCTTTCCTCCTTGACTATATTTGCTTAGTTGACTACATTTATGTGGCGATTTTTTTCCCCTGGACATTCTGGTATGTTCCATTGATGTATTTGTCTATTTTTTGCAAATACTTGATTATCTTGATTACTGTAGATTTAAAGTCTTGAAGTTAGGTGGTGTCAGTCTTCCAACTTTGTTTTTCTTCGGTATTGTGTTGGCTGTTGTGGGTCTTTTGATTCTTTCATATAAACTTTAGAATTAGTTTATTGATATCCACAAAATAACTTAGTAGGATTTTAATTGGGATTGCATTGAATCTCTAGATCAAGTTGAATGATGTATTGATGATATTGAGTTTTCCCATTCATGAACATGGAATATCTCTCCATTTATTTAGTTATTTGATTTCTTTCATCAAAGTTTTGTAGCTTTCCTCATACAAGTCTTATACATATTTTGATAGATTTATACCTAATTATTTTATTTTTTGATGCTAATGTAAATGGTACTGCATTTTAAATTTCACATTCCACATGTTCATTGCTGGTATATAGGAAAGCAATTGACTTTTGTGTATTTACCTTGTATCCTGCAACCTTGCTATAATTGCTTATTAGTCCCAGGAAGGTTTTTAAAAATTTTTTTCTGCATAGATAATCACGTCATCTGTGAACAAAGACAGTATTATTTCTGTCTTCTCAATCTCTATACTTTTTACTGCCTTTCTTGTCTTATTGCATTAGCTAGAACATCCAGTGCAACAATGAAAAGAAGTGGTGAGAAGGGACATTCTTGCTTTGTTTCTGATCTTAGTGGGGAAGTTTTGAGTATGTTGGTAGCTGGTGGGTTTTCGTATATATTCTCTACCAATTTAAGGATGTTCCTCTCTATTACCAGTTTGCTGAGAGTGTTTATATTGGATTTTATCAAATGCTTTTTCTGTATCTATTGATAAATTCTAATGATTTTACTTAAAAATATCTTGAGTGAAGCTCATAAATTTACCTTTACATAAGAACTTCAGATTCACATGGTCCAATGACAACATTGTGAGATGCCTCATAATATTCATGGGTATACATAATGGTTTCAGGGATTACACTTTTGAGACCCACCAACCTACATTTTCCCAAAGTGTTAACAACTGATTCAAATCAATTAAGCATCCATAGCTGTCACTGATTGCAGAGCCATATGTTAATGTCAATTATCTTCTACGTTAGTCCAATGTAAATACCACACATATGTTTCTCAGACAAAAAAATGAGGAAATAATTTACTTTGTTTTTCATTGTTTCTCATGTTGTTGAAATTCCAAACTGTTTTCATTTCTTGGTGTAGTAATGTTGGACTGATGAGAGAAACAGAAAATCACTGATTAAGAAAAGTGAGTTATTAAATTAAAAACCTTTGGAAACCATAGAAAGGAGAATTCCAGTTGAAGTAAATTTACCAGATGAAAGCTAACATTCTTTTACACAAAATATGTTGAGTTCTATATTATAATTTTTTAAGAAACCAAATACTCATTTGTCCCTGAGGATACTTTGGGTAATCGGCTAGTTCATTAAAATGCTTTTAATTCAATGTGGTAGAGAACTAGAATGTATTTATCTCTTAGTCTTATTCTAGGTACTAAAAACTGCTGACAAATTTTGGCCCAGACAGAAAATTTATACCTACTTTCTAACATAAAGGTGCAAAAGGAGCTTCAAAAAATTATTTACAGAACTATTTTCCAAATAATGTGGAGGCTACAGGTGATGTTCATTTAGTTATAAGAAAACAGTCGATTATTGCCATCTTGTCTCTTCCCAGAGGCAGGTGTCCAGGGAGTAATCAATGCAGAAACACACAGTGAAAATTTCGATGTGCAGAGAGTGGCTCAAGGAGGGAATGCAAAAGGGGTGTCCGATTTGTAGCATAATTTTATGTCTTGGGTTCTACCCTGATTTATTGATTTAACTATAGCAAGGAGACAACTGTTTTTCAAAGCCTGGAGTCAAGCATGATCCCTTCCTGCCTTAGAGTGTTAGTCCACAAACAAGCTCAAAGGGTTCTGTGTCACCAAGTATAAGGAATATGTTTCACAATGAAAAAAAGTAACTCTCCTTTGTTATTCTTTATCTAGCTACTGGTTTCTTACTCCCAGCTTACTATAAAGCAAATTTTCTGCTTTAAATTCACCATTTAGAAATTTTCTTATTATTCACTGTGGCAGAAAAGATAAAAGTGATTATGGCTTCTATCCTGAGCTTTGGATCCTGGTTACAGCTGACAACTCTATATTCTAGTAGGAATAAAATCTTAAATGACTGCTATCTTGCTGGCTTCCTATACAATACAAATACGAACTGTGAACCAAGTCCTTTTGACAAATGAAAATATTTCATTAAGCCTATTCAAGTTATATTCTTGACAAAGCAAAACATTCTTGTCACCAAATCAGTACACTCCTCCTCCCTCCTAAGCCTGTGGTTTTGTGGAGGTAACAAGTAAACAATTCCTCTGATCTTGGTTCCAAATAAATAATACCAGACTATATTACTCATTTGGAACCAATGATACTACCTGTTTCTTCTTACCAAAACCACATGAGTATAACCTAAAAGTTATTCATTGATGGCTTTACTAAATTACTCTTTTCGATTAACATTGAGGTTGCTTTTAAAATTTTCGCTCAGGGAAAGTTGTTTTTTGTTGTTTGTTTTATTTAGGTCTTGGATGACTGAAAGGCACTCAGGTTGTAGTTTCATCTTGGCCAAATTATAAATATTGATTATGGTCCCATTAATCCATTTTCATTATTTCATTCTTTGAAAGAAGGCATCTGAGCCATATGGGGAACCCAAAAGAACACAGCAATGAACACAGGAAAAAACCTCAGGAATTGTGGGGAGTCCTCCACCTCTTCTTCAAGCACCAGTGCTACTAGAATCTACCCTTACCTTTGTCAACTTTTTCCTCTTAGTCAATTTTCGATACCTAGCTATTTCCTCTGGGGCTTTGAAATGCCCATGCTTTAGTTGAGTGTTTGCCTAGTACCAAGAATGTAATAATCAATCTGGCTGGAGCAGAATTTAGCTTCATTACCAGGTGTTCATTATTTCTGCTTTTTTAAAAATAAAAAAATTATCATCATCTAAGTCATGGGTGGACAAACGATAGCCCACAGGCCAAATCAAGCCCGTCATCTACTTGTGTAAACAAAGTTTTATTGCATCACAACCATGCTCATTCTCTATACATCGTCTATAGCTGTCTTCATGCTACAATGACATATCTGAGTAATTTCAACAGAGACTGTATGGCATACGAAGCTATTTACTAATGGCATATGAAGCTATGGCATATGAAACTATTTACTAATTACCCTTTTAAGGAAAAGTTTGCTGACCCCTGGTCTAGAATCCTGACATTATGTATTTAGGACTTTCTCTAAGCTTTCTCATCTATAAATTGGGGCTAGAACCTGTCTCCTAGGATTCTTGTGAGGATGAAATTAGGTAATGTATGTGAAGCACTTAGCTCAGGGCTGGGTAAACACTCAATAAATGTTAGTGTTGTGGGGACTTGATGTCTCATTTGAAGCTATCTATTCGAACTCTTTCTTGTGAAGCAGTTCAGTACAGAGAACAAGAGCTTTGAACTTGGGTTCAATTCATATAGTAGAGGTTACTACTTGTGCTGTCTTAAGCAACTGTTCTACTTTTCCTTTCTTCTCCCTATAACAGGAATAATGAAAGCTACCATGGAGACAAAGAGAAATCCTTAAAACTTTCAAAGACAGCAAGACCAACGGCAATAATAAGACAAATTGCATGCAATGGACTGAAGATCATAACAACAGACTTAGCCATTGCTGGGAATGAAAAAGAAAGAAAAAAAATGCTTTCAATAGTTTGAAGGAAATAGATTTTTTACCAGAATTCTCTACTTAGCCAAACTATCAACTAAATGTGAGGGTAACATAAAGACATTTCAGGAATGCAAATTATAAAATCACAAAAACAAAACAAAAACCACTCATAAACTCTTTCTTGACAATTTATTGGAGGATGTACTGAATTAAAAAAAGAAGAAGAAGAAACTGAAACAGAAAAAAAAAAAGAGAAACCAAGGAAGAGGGAGATGTGTTATCTGGAGAGATCTGGGAAGAAGATGAGAATTGCAGTGTAGATTTTATAGATTTTTAAATCTCTTTGAATTCCCCAAATTGAAACAGCAAATAGGATAAATTAAACAAAAACTCATGGGCAATATCTATAACAAAACTTTGTGACAGTGTATGCCCCAACATCATGAAATATGAGTTCAGGGAAAGAACCACTGGAACAGCAAGACCTGAATATTATCAACTATGGAGACAAAGGAATTTCTAATGGCCTTGAGAGCTAGAGGACCAAAACTTTGATCAATTTTCCATTGGTTTCGTGGTCTCAAATTAGTTTGTAATCTCTTCTTCTCCCTCCTTTTCTTTCCCCCAGCATCTCATTTACAGGGGTATCCATTTATTCCCAGAAGTACTCCAAAGGCAATTCTCCCTCTCTTAATTAATTGCATTATATCTACATTGTAAGAAGATATAGCTTTACGCATGCTACTATAAAAACATTCACATAATTTATCGTATAAATCAGAAAAGTTTTGAGGCTGAAAGAGGCCACTACTAATTAGGCCAAGACAAGACCTATAATCTGGACTCTAATGGCAAATTGGATATATGATCATCTTATTTATAAAAATCACTCAGTCTTACTACTAAAGGTAAATATATATTTCATGTTTATCACCTGTTCTTACACGGATGTCCTTCCAGTCATTTTGGTCTTCAGAAGCCCATTGTCTAGTAGATTTTGCACGAAGAGCTTATGAAAGCATTTTTTTTTACTTTAGACTTGAAGTTTAGGCAGAGTGAAGAAAAATGTGATTCATATTTTCTTTTTATTAAAAACTTTTTATAACAGCTTTATTGATATATAATTCATTCACTCATTTAAATTACACAATTAATTAGTTTTTAGTACATTCACAAGATTGTTTAACCATCGCCACAATTTTAGAACATTTTCATTACCACTGAAAGAAACTACCCCTACTATCATCACTACACATTTCCACCCAACCCCTAGGCAACCACTAATTTACTTTATCTCTATAGATTTGCCTATCATCAGCATGCCACACCAAGGGAATTATGCACCATGCAATCCTTTGGACTAGGTGCTTTCACTTAACACAATGTTTTCAAGGTTTAGCAGTACTACTGTATGTATCAATCAGTAACTGATTTCCTTTATGGCCAAATAATATTTCACTATAGATTTAGAATAAAGAAAACAAGATTAATATTTGAATGAAAATAAGAGCTGACAAAAAATTTTTAAGTGGTTTCACCAAATGTTTCTTCTTCATTGGCATTATGACTGACATAGTTATCGAATTAAGTATAAGATATACACTTAACATATATTTAATAAATGTAATAAGTACATGCTCATATAATAAAATATATAATATTTTAATAGTATAAAGTGTTGCTATACTTTAATATAAAGGAAATATTTTAATACTTATTTTAATATAAATTTTAATTGAATTAAAATATAGGTAATTCATGAAACCAACCACAAATGGAGTTACTAATATGGAGGAGTAGTGAGCCCAAATAAAAGTCTGAACATTTCTACAAGTAGTAAGGATAGAAATAAGGTATATGCAACCTTTTTCTGTCTATATAGAAAATAGCACTCTCATTAAAGTCATCTTTTAATGTGTCAATTACTGTAACATCTTTTTAACTTTTAGATACAGGGTACATGCACAGGTTTGTTATATAGGTAAACTCGTGCCATCGGTTTTGGTATATAGATTATTTCATCACCCAGGTACTAAGCCTACTACCCAACAGTTATCTTTTTGATCTTCCTTCTCCCACCCTCCTCCCTCAGGTAGGTCCCAGAGTCTGTTGTTCCCCTCTTTGTGTCCATGAATTCTCACCAATTAGCTCCCACTATTAAGTGAGAACATATGGTATTTGGTTTTCTGTTTCTGTGTTAGTTTGCTGAGAATAATGGCCTCCAGCTCCATCCATGTTTCTGCAAAGGTCATGATCTCATTCTTTTTTATGGCTGCATAGCGTTTCATGGTGTATATGTACCATATTTTCTTTATCCAGTCCACCATTAATGGGCATTTAGGTTGGTTCCATGTCTTTGCTATTGTAAATATTGCTGCAGTGAACATACTTGTGCATGTGTTTTTATGACAGAACAATTTATATTCCTTTGGGTACATACTCAGTAACGGGATTGCTGGATCAAATGGTATTTCTGTTTTTATCTCTCTGAGAAATCGCCACACTACTTTCCACAATGGTTGAACTAATTTACACTCCCACCAACAGTGAATAAGTGTCCACTTTTCTCCACAACCTTGCAACCATCTGTTTTTTTTTAACTTTTTAATAATGCCATTCTGACTGGTGTGAAATGGTATCTTGTTGTTTTGATTTGCATTTCTCTAATGATCAGTGATATTGAGCTTTTTTTATATGCTTGTTGGCCACACATATGTCTCTTGAAAAGTGTCTGTTCTGTAACACCTTAAACATTCCAGTTTTGCCAGAGTGAAGGGCCCTCACATTCAGTGAACAAAGCTATGAGCTGCTACGTTTCTAGATAAGAAATAGTTTAAACCCTTGAGGTCAAGTATATACTAATAAAACAGTGAACATTTCATTTCTAATAATTGAGGCATAAACTATTCACCTCTTTGTGCTTCCTATCGTCGTTAATAACTACAATTTGGCTTGATGAGTATTTAGATGCCTCTCAAATTTAAATTTAAAAATTACTATAGCATTTATAGATTAATTTTCACACTTTGGTTTTATATATAGCAAAATTCACTCACATATAATCACAATGGTATATACATGAAAAGAAATATTTTTCTGTGATTATTACTTATGTCAAGGTTGGCTTGCCATAAAGACTACTTTTACAAGCTTGTATACACAGTGAATTCTCATTATTTGCAGCAGCTATATTTCATAAACTCTCCATGAATACTGAATTTGTGACTACTGAAGCACTGCTTCTAGGGGAAATACAGGGTTAGGTTCCTACCAGCCTCCAGTTGCAACATTTTCCTTGACAGCTCAATACATACCATGTATTATGTGTGATTCTGCTTAAAGAATCTTTATGTAATATACATTATTGATTCATTAACATTAAACTCAAGAAAATAGCACTAGAACTCATGCCTGAATGAAGCTTATCCAACACAAATATTTTCTCCATAAGGCATATCACAGCCTTCTAGCCCTTAGGAACACTAGGCTTGGGAGCCAGTTTAGACAGCAAAATCACCAACAAAAAGCACAAAAATGCAAAAACTATGCTACTAACCATCCTGTGAAAAGACTACTTGTTTACAGTATAAAAGCTGAAAAAAGAAGCAAAACCTCACCTTGTTTGACCCCAGCTAGGAACACGCACATGAGGCAACTCAAATTTTTTGCTGCTCTCCACCTGTCTATGAACAATAATGAAAGCACTGAAAATAAAATGATTTTAGGATAATAAAAATTTTAGTGAGTAGGTGAATTCACAAATAAGGAATCTGTGAATAATGAGGAATGAATGTATTTAAGTTAGAGAATGAGTCCACATGAGATCAGAAATTAGATGTGACATTTCATATTTCAGCAATACGCATCTGGGTTTATAGGGAAATCTTATAATTTTAGGAGAAAGAAAGCTGAACAGAGATTTTAGCAGTTAGCTTTTTTGGAATCCTGGATATAAAGTTTCTATATTTAACTTGATAAGTATAATGTCTTCATACAATTATGATGTCAAGACTTTTTATAAACCCACATCCTCATTCCTCAGGAACTTTTGCCATTGATCCTATAATTTTTTCCAGTTTTCTTAGGTTTAATTACATGTGTCCTGTTGATACACATGAAATACAACAGCAGTCCACAAACCTACTGAAATCAGGTGCCAACTTTTTGGTTTATATCCAAATTTTATTTTCCTGGAGAAAGGGTCCACGGATTTCACAATATTTTCAAAGAAGCTCCAAAACCAATGAAAATGCTTTAAAAAGGAGATGAAGAGTAAGAAGAAAAGGAAATGGAATTTAAAGGAATAGTGACATTTAAGGAGCAAGCAGAGGAAGGGGAACTAGTAAGGGAGACATGAGGAAGAAGCAAATCTAATGATGACCCTGGAGACAAGGGAGCAGGAGAGTCTTAAAAGGCAAAAATTAAAAATTAGCCAGGTGTGGTGGTGCATGCCTGCAGTCAGCTATTCAGGAGGCTGAGGCGGGAGGATCCCTTGAGGCCAGGAGTGTGAGGCTGCAGTGAGCCAGGATTGTGCCACTGCACTCCAGCCTGGGCAACAGAGCGAGACCCTGTCTCAAAAAAAAAAAAGGCAGAAGTCACCAACAGTGTATCAAGAGAAGCAAAAGGCTAAGAAAGATAAGGAGTGAATGTGATCATGGAGGCCTCAGATGAAAGCAGTATTAGTGGAGAAGTGAGAGTAGAAGCCAGTTTTCAAAACTGAAATAATGACTGGGAGAGACTGTGAAGGAAAGAGAGAGAACATAGTAGTTGAGAGAAGATGTTGTTGAGAGGTCATGTAAGTCTCCTGAGGATAAGGAGCCAGTGGATGAGAAGAGGTTGGTGATAGAGTGAGATAAAAATACACATCAAGCATTGACTCTGAGTCAGGTGCCCTGCAGCGTATTAAGTGGAACGGTTTTGAACACACAAACAAGATGCTTACCCTAGTGGATTTTTTAGGCTGAGGACTGGTTTGTAAAGCCTCATTTTTCATAGAATCATATACCTGAGCTTCACCCCAGAGATTCTGATTTCATTAGCCAAAGGTGGGGTCTCAGTGTCAGCTTCGTATAAAAGCATCCCAGGTTATCCTAATGCACAGCCTGAGTTGAGATCTACTGTTCTAAAGACAGATGGGTTGATAGATACACTACAGAGCCAAGTAGCCAACCTGGAATTGGGCACCACCCTCATCCCCTTAAACAGGAATGAAAGATGTCAGCATTAGCATAGAGTGGAGGGAAAGTTGGAATTTAACAGAATCACCCCACATAGTGGCCTCTATTCCCTCTGTGAAGTTAAAAATAAAATCATCTGCTGAGAGTGAGAAATAGAGGGAAACAGGCAAGGGATGACAGTCTGGACTGATTACCGCTAAGAGTGGGAGATAAAGTAGCCACAATTACACTCCGTTCAATTTCAGGATCCAAATGAAGTTAGAAATCTTGAATTTGTAGAGGCACTGATTTGTATATATGCTTGACTTTCTGTCATGTATGAGAGAAATGAATATGTTTTAGCTTACCAACATAATTGTGAATTCATTCTTGTGTTTTAATTCCTGAGCTCATGGTAATGCTAATATGCAGAGACTCAATATCTGGCATAAAAATGCCTAGAACCCAGTGCCAGTCACAACCTACCTACTGTGTTCCCACTGTGGCATTTAGTTCTGAAGTGCACTGCCACAACAGCCTCTTCTGAGTTTTACACATATTTAAGTCACTGTGACGGAGATGGGACTTTTACTTTATTGACTGTATTTGCTATCACTTTAATTCTCTGTGATAAGACAACCCTACTCTGTGCCAACATGTCTCTCGGCATGTAAAGGGCTGGACAACTTTGGTGTACTAGGTATTACTGGAGAGATGAATATCATTTAAGAAAGAGTCTAATGTTTTCTTTCCTAAAACTGCCCTCAAGAGGTGCAAGTAAGTTAACTTAATGCTCCTGAAAGTAATTCTGAGACAGATGCAGTGTATTAGAAATGGTCTCGATTGCCTTTCTTTCAAGGACAAGAAAAAAATTCCTACAATGATTTAAAAGGGAGAATGGAAGACAATAATTTGCCCAAATAAGATCTATAATAAAAATGCTTAAGATGCTGAAAATCAAGTTACACACATCTACTGAAAATTTACAGGTCTTTCTGCAAAGATCATGTAATATACTAGGTATGGGTATTAAAAGTTAGCCAACCAGGTATGGACAAAGAAAATACATGTGTGCGATGACCTGAACAATGGCATTTGCTCAGCGATATACCATTTTCTATTCTTCCTTTCACAAATGAGGAGACTGCATCTCAGAAGGATAAGATTTTGTCCAAGGTACAGTTTATTCATCAACAAAAATGCACTGGGAACCTATTTTCTCTAGAGACACTGTCAGGGGAGAATAAAATGAACAACATGAAGTTTTCTATATGCTCAGAGAGCAGTTATTGTGAGAGGGTGTTTGACGGTCCAGTGTTCTAATACACCCCAAAACAAGAACTAGTCATTAGGGAGTTCATCACAAAGACACTTCCCTCAGCTCCCATCGATAACAGCTTCAGAGATACGATCCACTGTAGATGCACACTACATACATGTTGAATAAAGAGTCTATAAAAAGAAAGAGTGTTCTAAATATACACTAAGTCCTTTGTAGGGGGCACAGAATAGGGAATTCTAAGTCTGAGAAATACGGAGAAAAGGCTCAACATGAGAAAGAGGAAATATGATTTTGCAGGCTAGTCAATCGATTAGCTTGGCTGGGGAGGAATGACTTGTTGAGAAGTAACACAGGTGCAACTGAAAACACAGAGTGGGGCTAGACCTTTGTAAATACTTGAGTCTGAGACTGTGACCATTTTAATCTACTCCCTGGACAAAAAAAAAAAGAAGTACCAGGGTATTCCACAGGCATAAACCATGACGAGATGGGTATTTCAGGAAGGCTGCTCTGACTGTGTGGATGATGAACTGGAGTCAGGGGAGAAAGAAAAGGAGACCAGTAAAGGTGACACCACCACAGTGTTGGTGAGCTATTCTGAGGGTCTGGAAAGGCTAACGAGAGTGATCATGGGAAGAGAAAAGAGGTATTTGAGAGAAATTCACAGGGGAAAAAAAATGACCTGGATTTCATGCTGAAAAAAATATGAGGAGAAAGAGAAATAAAGGAAAAGGAGGATTTGGAGATGCAGAGCTGAGATAGAGAAGATGATGTCGCTAACAGAAATCATGGATTCAGGAGCTTCTGCTGGAGGAATTTGGGATATGTGGAATTTAGGTGCGTCTTAACTAGCAAATGGAAACACTCTGAGATGGGGCTGGAGATTAGGAGGTAATCCCAGAAGAAGAAGGAAATGTTTAAGAGCTCTAGATACTATGTAGGACTTAATGTATTTGGAAATGATAGCTGAAGTCACAGTAACAGGTAGCTTGGTTAGCCAGGCTAGCAAATATATAAAGAATATTCCTATTTCATATTGAATTTAAGTAGTCTTTTAGACATATTTTACTTTGTAAAAACAAAAATAAAAACTAACAACCAAATTAAAGAACACACACACAATCAAAGACGGGAAAAATAAAATCCTGCTAACTAGCATTTAGAACTACATCAATTTTTATGAACTTTGGACTTGAAGTCTTTCCTTGAATGGAATGTAAAGAACATCTAGAGTAGAAAATTATTATTTGGTACCATTTAGCACAATAACTATCCTATTTTCAAAAAGTAACAGGATAAATCTGTCCTTTTCATGCCGTCTGCCATCTATTCTATTCCTTTGAAAAGAAATGACTTAAGTAATCTTAAAAAAGATTTCATCACTTATGGTTTTTAATATGCTAAAGACAGCAGAGTCTGAACATTTTAAGTCAGTAAAATACTGAGAAAGAAGTATTGTCTGCTAAATAAAGATGTTGTAGCCTTAGGTGAAAACATATTTAATTATTCACTGCATTTGGGTTTAAATAAGCTCCCGAAGGCCCATTTTTTGGTTTCCTTCTGGGGAGAAAAAAGTCTTCTGAAAGCTCTTTATACTAGTGACATGTTCTGCTTAATATTTCATTTACATTTGTCCTAATTCTATTGTTTTGCTCTTCTATACCACCTACAGTGATGAAAGCTCATTCTTTTTAATTCGCACTTCTATTCTGTTTTATAGGTTATTTAATACTGCATAATAAGGCAATTAGGCCACAACCCAGTGCACTCTAAGTGGCATGGGAATGATCCAAAAAAGACAAAATAAACTTAATGTAACACAAAAATGACTAGGCAGCATATTAAAAAATCAGATTACTGATAAATACTTTAGTGCCATTAGAATCCACTGTAAAGTAGCCCAGTAAACTTAATATCCTCAGTGTCTTTCACACTGTGTGATTTTACCAGACTATTCACAAATGCGTTTGAAAATATTTTTTATAAGATGGAACCTCAAGTTTAAACGTATGTCCTATTAGCAGTTTGTGTTGCACAGCAACTAGAATTTAGTCAATTCTGCCTATACACAAAGACAGACAGTGTTTGACCAAAACACAGGAGTGACTTATTGAATTAGAAAAAAAAAAAGACAAAGAAAAACTGAAGATTCCTCCCAAAGCTTTTGCCTTCATTTAAGCTTGCTTCTTGCTTTTCATTCAGCTGGCTGAATAGATGCTATGTTCTCTTAGCTCTCCTCATTATTCACATATTCAGCATATTGTTTGAAAAGTGAGTCTCTTATGCTATAATGTCTTGATGTGACCTTTACTACGTTTTGGAAATTGTATTAATAAGGACATGTTATATTATGCTATGGTAACAAATTGAACCCCAAATCTCAGTGGATTAACAAAACAAAGTATATTTTTCCCAACTTACATGTCTAAAATCAGTCAGGCCAATTTACATCTCTACTCCACAAAGCCACATGGGCTTTTAGAGGCTCCACCATAATGGTGGTGTCACCATAATGTGACACGGCCATTTCCAAAAACTAAAAGTGGCTACTGAGTATGCTGTGTAAAGAAAGGTGAAACATGAAGAACTTTCATACTCATTTTCACTTCTATTTGTTTGTCATGGGAGTCTAGGAAATCCAGGAAGAGGAAAAGAAGTGGTAACCACCAAGTACTGTGTTTACATCAGAAGAAGTTACTTCTAGGAGGCAGCACTGTGAGCTAAAAAGGTCTCTAAACTTCAAGGCAAGAGATCTGATTCTGGACAAGTCACTTGGCTTTTCCGGGTCTGAATACGCAAAATGAGAAATTTATTTTTTTATTTTTTATTTTTTATTGAGGTTGTTAAACATTCTCTTCAGTAGCTGGAAAAGTGAATTTCCTGCAGAATGACAGGAATTACATAGAAGCAAACAATTTTATTTTCCTTAAATGTAGCATTAATTTTAATGTGGACATAAACAGTGCAATTTTAAAACCTTGAAGGTGACATGCATATTTTAAGGTGCAGTTGGGATGGGGGAGGATGTTAGCATCTCTGATTTTCCTTACCACTTTTATTTTTTCTAGTTCCTTATGCAAAAGCACTGAGTCCGGAAACTTCATCTAGAATGCTAAAGTTAAAGGTGAACTTCCTGAAGTCTGTACTTCTACATATCACAAAATGGAAATGACTTTCTAAAGTAGTTTGGTAGGCACTAGAGTAATATGGCTGAGCTTTTAAGCTTGAAATGAATGAAATCAGGGATTCATTTTCTGCAGAACTAAAGGAGATAATGTTTGTAACTGTGTGTCCTATTTATGTTTCATAGTTGCTACCCATGTGATCCGTTCCACCAGTCTTTATTCGGTATAGTTTCTGAATAGATGCTGTTCAATGGAGTTATATGTAACTAGGGTGTGGTGAGGTACAGAAGGAAGCACTGGGAAAATCACTTCTTCCTTGAAGTCTGAGTCCATGCTCTTCCTCCACTGTTCTTATGGCCTTTTCTCTGCCATTGAGGCAGATGTAGCTGGTGCAGAATGTCAGATGCTGTCATCATTCATAGGCCCAGGGATGAGGTCCACCTTTGCTTCTTCCACAATATCTTTCTCAAGCTTTCCTGGCCTTGCAGCAGAACTTCTAGAACTAGAAAGTCAGTTCACTAGGTCCTTGACTCAAAGGTCAGGATGAGATGGGATGTGGCAGAGTGACAAGACACAAAGGGAAAATATGGTACCAATTAGCCTCAGAGAAGGATAAATTTATATTTGCACTGATGAAAATTCAAATTCCCTAAGTAAATCTAAAAAAAATGAAGATTTTCTTTGAGTAAAATGAGAAATTTAGATGAGATTGTGAGCATCCCGCAAGGAACATCAGGACATTAGAATCTTGTCCTGTCACATAAGAACTTTAGACTTTAGACTTGTCCTATCACAGTGGACTTTAAATGGTAACTTTCAATGTATTATAAGAATTGAATCACCATAATCAGCAAAAGAGACATAATATTAAAATACAATTAGATATTTAATATTAGAGACCTAATAATAAAACAGAATTAAATCCAAAAGAGCCAAAAAATTAAAACCTTTCAAACTTTCCTCCATCCTCTATTCACTGCTCCACAGCATCTTTCACTAGCAAAATAACCTTGAATGGCAGGGCAAATGTGTAATGGCTTTCCTTCACAGCCAAAATTGGAATTTCTTTGTTAAATAAGGATGATTCTAGAGTTTGGACCCTATTAGAGCTCTCTGAAAATAAATAAGAAAGGTAAATAATGTCTCTTTCTTATTTGATATACAACATCTGATATTTGTGCTTTAATATTAGGCATGAAGCAGCTGGGTGCGGTGGCTCACGCCTGTAATCCCAGAACTTTGGAAGGCCAAGGCAGGCAGATCACGAGGTCAGGAGACCGAGACCATCCTGGCTAACACGGTGAAACCCCATCTCTACTAAAAATACAAAAAATTAGCCAGGCGTGGTGGCAGGCGCCTGTAGTCCCAGCTACTCAGGAGGCTGAGGCAGGAGAATGGCGTGAACCCGGGAGGAGGAGCTTGCAGTGAGCCGAGATCGCGCCACTGCACTCCAGCCTGGGCAACAGAGCGAGACTCTGTCTCGGGAAAAAAAAAAAAAAAATATATATATATATATATACACACACATATATATTAGGCATGTATATACTAGGCATATATACATTAGGCTATATATATATATATATATATTAGGCATGAAGTGCTATGGTATTTAACAAAACCAGGATTCTTCAGTGTTTTGGGGTTAAAACTGAATATCATGAAATACCAAGAATTCACAGAGACAAGGTAATTTTATAGAACTCTCACAATAAAAAGGAAAGTAAATATAGGTAAAGTCTTATGTTGAAAATGATTAAAATTAAAAATGGGTTTTAATGATCTCGGCTGTGAGAGAAACCCTCAGCCCACTAGATCCTTATGCCTGGCATACAGAGCTGCCTAAAGATTGCACAGAGATGTTGCTCCAGAAAGGGAACCCACACAGAATCCCACAGGCATCCAACCCTGGAGCAGCCGCAGCTGGGCACCACTTTGACAGCCCAGCTACTAGGGAGTCTACAGACAGGGCTGCAGCTGCTGCATTCCTCCACGGAGGCAGGAAGAGAACAGGTGCCCCCACACATCCCTCGGATGGTCCCTGCCACCCTGCTCCAGGCTGTCGTTGAGACTGAGACATGAGCATCACACTCCCCACAGCTTCTTGCCCATGCTGCTTGCCTGGGAGGGACCTGCCCTTTCTGGTAACATACCCAAGGCAAAATTTTGAGAGTTCAATGCTGAGTGGTGCCTTGACCTCAGTCTGAGATTGGGCTGACAAGGCTGCAGCTGTCACACAGCCAAGGACAGACAGGGAAACCAGGCTATCCTATGCATATCTAGGACAAGACCCACAGCCATGCAACAGGCTGCCATGAGACTGAGATGCAACCAGACCACACTCCCCACAGCTTCTTGGCCATGCTGCTTGCCTGAGAGGGACCCCGCCTTCTCTGGTGCCAGGCCCAAGTTGCCATTTTGAGAGTTTAACACTGGGCTGCACTGTGCCCTCATGATGAATTCAACTTGACATGGCCACAGCCATTGCTTGGTCAAGGAGGGACAGGGCAGCCACATTCTCCTAAGCATACCTAGTACAATATTCACCTCCCTGCTCTAGGTTGCTAGGAAACCAACACTTGAGTGGATTGCACTCTCCACAGTTTCTTGCCACAGCTTCTTCCTCATGCTGTGCACCTGAGATGGGCCTCACCCATTCTGATTACAAAACCCACAGCTGTCACCATTTTGAGAGCTTAACACTGGGCTATGCCCCACTCTTGGACCATGTTTGAGATGAGGCAGCTGCAGCCACTACCCTCTTATAGTTATTATCATTATTATTATTATTATTAATAACCCACATATTATTAGTGGGTTAGTGGAGGGATAAAGGAGACCAAGCCCTCCTAAGCACACTTAGAACAATACCTGCCACCTACTATGGGCAGCTGTGGGACTTAGGATTAGCCCACGAATTCATTGCAGCTTCTAACACCACCAACCCAGACTGCTTGGGTCCCAGTGCATTGCTCCACAGCTGCTACAGCCATCACCCACCCACACCACATCAGCTGTCCAGGAGCCTAAGAACCCACTCACACACAGGGTCCACCACTCCCACTACAAGCTCCTAAGCAAGTCACCTGGAGGGTCAGGAATTAGCTATCTAGTACCCACTAACATGGGAGGCAGTGTAAGCTCCTCTGAGCCTAAAAACAGGCATACTCGCACCACTACTGCCACCACTGGAGCCCAAAGACTGGCTCACTTGACATCGAAGTCCCCAGCTGAATTTCACCACAACCTGAACTAATAACCATTTTCTAAACCACCAAGGAAATCACAGAGACCACTGACCACTGCCAAAGAACTCACGCAAATATCACACTACGGCAACTATCCAAAATCAAGGCCAAAGTGTCTTACTCAACAACAGATATATACATCCTCAGGAAAAAAATTATCCCTACTAAAGCAATTTGAAAAAAAAAATGGAACGAGTGACAGCTATACCAGATGTACAAATATCAACATAAGTTCACAGAAACATGAAAAAGCAAGGAAATATGATACCATCAAAGGACCACAACAATTGTCCAGCAAC
Organism: Homo sapiens; assembly: GCF_000001405.40. NCBI lineage: Eukaryota > Metazoa > Chordata > Mammalia > Primates > Hominidae > Homo > Homo sapiens. The sequence continues at coordinate 114,200,539 of NC_000005.10, read as the reverse complement.
AGATTCCAGTCAAAAAGTATTCCACAAAATGCCAGGTAAAAAACTCATAATAGTGATTTTAAAGAAGCTCAGTGAGATGCAAGAGAAATCAGAAAAACGATATAAAGAAATTAGGAAAATCAATCCAGGATGCGAATGAGAAACTTACCAAAGAGACAGATATCTTAGAGAAAAGAAAAAAAAAAGCAGAAATTCTGAAAGTAAAAAATTCATTGAGGGAAATACAAAATACATTTGACAGCTTCAACAATATACTAGACCAAGTGGAAGAAACAATCTCAGAACTTGAAGAAGACAGGTCTTTTGACACAATCCAGCAAGACAAAAATAAAAAAAAAGTATTTTAAAAAATGAACAAATCCTTTGTGACATCTGGGACTACATAAAGTGACCAAACTTACATTCCAAGGAGAAAGAAAGAGATCAAATAGTTTAGAATATATATCTAAAAAAATAATCAATGAAAATTCCCTGTCTATCAAGAGAGTTAGACATCAAGATAGAGGAGGCACAGCAATTTTCAGACAAACACATTGTAAAAAGGTCCTCACCACAGCATATAGAGTTCAGAATATCTAAAGTCAAAGTGAAAGAAAGAATTTGAAAATTAGCAAGAGAAAAACATCTAGTCACCTATAAAGAAAACCCTGTTAGTTAGACTAACAGGAAACTTTCAGCAGAAACTTTACAGTCTCAAAGAGAATGAGATGGCACTTTCAAAGTGCTAATAGAAAAAAATTATCTGCCAAGAATTTTGTATACTGCCAGAATAAACTTCATAATAATGGAGAAATAAAGTCCTTCCCAGACAAGAAAATGCTGGGGGATTTTGTCACCAGAAAACTGGTCCTACAGGAAATGTCTAAAGGAGTCTCAAACATGGGAATGAAAGGTCAATATTTACAATAAAAGCCACATAAAAAAAAATATAAAACCCAAAATTCATATAAAACAATCACACAACGAGGATGAGAAAGAAATCAAATGGGGACATGACAGAATTTTCATCAAATCACAAAACAAAAAGACAATGAAAAAGATGGAAACAAATAATTTATGAAACAACTTGAAAACAATCAATAATATGACAGGAACAAAGCCTCATATATCAATATTAACCTTGAAGGTAAATGGATTAAATGCTTCACTTAAAAGATACAGATTGGCAGCATGGATAAAAACATCAATCAATTATATGCTGCTTCAAGAAACTTACCTTATCCATAAAGACACATATAGATGGAAAGTACATGGATAGAAAAAGACATTACACTCAAATGGAACACCAAAGTGATCAAGAGTCACTCTAGTTATATCAGACAAATCAAACTTTAAGTCAAAAATAGTAAAAATGACAAAGGTCATTATGCAATGATAAAGGATAGATTCAGCAAGTGAATATAACAATCCTATATATATATGCACCCAATATCAAAGCATCCAAATTCATGAAACAAATACTACTAGACCTAAAGAAATAGACAGCAATACAATAATAATAGGGGACTTTAATACCCCACTCATAGCACTAGACAGATCATCAAGACAAAAAATTAACAAAGAAACATTGAACTTACATTGGATTTTAGACCAAATGGACTTAACAGACATTTACAGAACATTCTATGCAATAATTACAGAATATGCACTGTTTTCATAAGCACATGGAACATTTTTCAAGACAGACCACACGTTAGGCTACAAAACAAGTCTTAACACATTTTAATAAATCAAAATCATATCAAGTATCTTCTCAGACCACAGTGGAAAAAAGCTAGAAATAAATACCAAGAGGAACTCCCAAGACTATACAAATACATGGAAATTAAACAGCATGTATTTAAAAACTAAAAACAAAAATTAAAATTAAAAAAATCTTAAAAAAGCAATACTACTCGATTCAGCATTCCAACTACTGGGTATGTACCCAGAGGGAAAGAAATCATGTATTTAAATGATACCTATACACGTATGTGTATCACAGCACTATTCACAATAGCAAAGATACAGAATTAACTTAAATGTGTATCAAAGGAGGACTGAATAAAGAAAATGTGTGTGTGTGTGTGTGTGTGTATATGTATATATATGTAAACACATATATATATACACATATATACGTATATGTATGGATATATATACACATACACATATATATGTATATATGTATATATACACACCTATGTATATATACACGTATATATATATATATATGAGGTTGGTGCAAAAGTAATTCTAGTATTTGCCATTATTTTTAACATATATATATATATAATGGAATACTACTCAGCCATAAATATTATATAGGAGCCAGAGCAGGTTAAAGTGTTATCTAAGATATTTATCAGACTCAACATAAATCTGAATGAAACCATCTGTGTTAACGGACTAACAAATGGCAGATATAGATCCTACAGAGAATAAACTATTTATTTAAAAAAATTCATAGTATTTTAGAATCTTAAAAAGTGGGGGGAGGAGCAGGACTTTGAGAACGAAGAAATAAGGAGCTCGGCACAGCCTCTCCCCAACAAAACAACAATTTAATTCACAAAAATTATCTTAAAAGATCATTAATCATTCATATTCCCTGGAAATTGTCCTAAATGCATACAGCAAATGTAACAACATTCATTCAAGGAAACCTATTAAATATCAGTAAGAAAAGTAAGAATCTGTGGCATTTGAGCCATGACCTGGCCCATTACATCCACTTCCCAGTTCCTGGGAAGCTATTCCTGAAACATGTTCAGTCAAGAAGGTAGGAGCTCCTTTTTCCTTCAGCAGCCCGTTTGAAACTATGGTTTCATCCTAGGAGGAGCAGGCTGCTGGCATTTCTCATTCCCACCCCTATTCTGCCTCCCAGCCTCATGTTGCAGCCACTCTTATTCCAGGCAGGTGAGACCAAAAAGACTGCCTTTGTAGTCACCCACTGCCATTTGTAAGGAGGAAGCTCTACCCCAGAAGCTGCAAGCTGAGAATACTGGGGCCCTGATTACCCCTGTCCCCACTAACTCATTGGACACAATTTCCACAATGAGAGGTGCAAGGTGAGAAGAAGCAAAACTGAAGAAGGCAGAACTGGGCAATTCAACAATGATCATTGGAGACTTCAATACTCCACTTGCAAAAATGGGAAGAACAACTTGACAGAAAACTAACAAGGAGAGAGAAGACTTGAACAATTCTATAAACCAACTAGAACTAACAAATATGTCTAGAACATCCCATTAAACAACAGAATACACATTCTTCTCAAGCACACAAGGAACATTCTCAGGAAAGCCAATATGCTAAGCCATAAAACAAGCCTCAATAATTTAAAATAATTAGAATAATAGAAAGTATGCTATCAAACCACATCAGAATTAAATTAGGTATTAACGACTGAAGGAAATTTTGGAATAGACAAATACCTGAAAATAAGCAAACTTACCCAACTGGTCAAAGAAGGAATCATAAGGGATATTAGAAGATATTTCAGAATGAATGAAAATGAAAACACAATGAAACAAAACTATGGGGTACAGCTAAGTCTGTGCTTAAAGTGAAATTTATAACTGTAAATGCTTCTATTAGAAATTGAGAAAGATCTCAATCAATAACCTCACCTTTTATCTTAAGAAACTAGAAAAACAAGAACAAAATAAACATAAAGCAAGCAGAAAGAAGGAAATAATACAGAATACAACAGAAATAAATAAAATAGCAAATAAAAATGCAATAGAGAACACCAATAAAACCAAAAGTTAGTACTTTGAAAAGATCAACAAACTGGACAAATATTTTGATGAAATGATAAAGAAAAAAACAAAGTAGATGTAAGTTGCTAAAATCAGAATATTGCTAACAACCTTATAGAAACAGGAAGGATTATAAGGAAATACTATGAATAACTATATACCAACAAATTAGATAACTTAGATGAAATGAACAAATTCCTAGAAAGAAACAAATTACCCAATCTAACTCAAGAAAAAAGAGAAAATCTCAACAAGCCAAAAATGGATAAAAAGAATTAGTAAATTTAAAACTTCCCACAAAGAAAAGTCCAGGCCCATTTGGCCTGTTGGTGAATTTCACTAAATATTCAAAAAAGAATTAATACCAATCCTTTACAAACTCTTCCAAAAAACAGAAGATGGGAACACTTCCCAAATTATTCTATGATGTTGGTATTATCCTGATATAAAAGATATCACAAGAAATAAAAAGTATAGAACAATATCCCTTATGAACACAGATGTTAAAATTTGAAACAAAATACTAACAAAGTGAATCCAGAAACACACATTAAAAAAACCAGTATACACCATTTCCAAGTGGGAATTATCTCAGGAATGCAACAGTGGTTTAACATCTGGAAGTCAATTAATGTAATATATTATATTAATAGAATAGAGGGCAAAAACTATGATCACAATAAAGGCTTATATTTATATTCAACTGATTTTTCACAAGGGTGCCAAGACAATTGAATTGGGAAAGAATAGTCTTTTCAACAAATGGTACTGAGAGAACTCCATACCCACATGCAGAAAAATTAAATTAAGGACCTCTCTCACACCATATCAAAAAACTAATTCAAAATTGACAACAGACCTAAATATAAGAGCCAAAAGGCATTTCATAAAATCCAATACTCACTCATGATAAACCTCTCAAGAAACCAGGAACAGGAAGAAACTTAATCTGATATAAGGCATCTACAAAAAACCTACGGCTAATATCATATTTAATGGTGAAAAATTTAATGAATGGTTGCTTGTCTTCTAAAATTAGGAACAAGACAAGGATGTCTGCTCTCACTGTGACAATTCATCCTTTTACTGGAGGTGCAAGACATAGTAATTAGCCAATAAAAAGATATAAAAGGCATCCAGATTGAAAATGAAAAAGTAAAACTATCTCTCTTCATAGGTGACATAATTTTGTATATAGAAAATCCTAAGTAATATAAATAAAAGACTATTAGAATGAATTAAAAAGTTCAGCAAAGTTCAAGGATAAAAGATAAATATACAAAAATCTATTGAATTTCTATACACTAGCAATGGAAAATCTGAAAATTAAGAAAATTTCATTTACAATAACATCAAAAGGAGTAAAATATTTAGGTATACACATCTTATAAAGAATGTTTAAGACACAGCCTTAAAACTACAAATATTGTTAAAAGAAATTAAAGAAAATCCAAATAAATTGAAAGACATTTCACATCCATGGTTCAGAAAATAAAATATTGTTCAGTTGGCAATACTACTCAAATCGATTTACAAAGTCAATCAATCTCTATTAAAATTCTAGCTGGCTTTTTTTTTTCGGCAGAAATCACACTGATCTTAAAATTCATACGTAAATGCAACTGTGAAGAGCCAAAACAATCTTTAAAAACAAGAACAAAGTTGGAAGACTCACACTTTTTTATTTCAAAATTTACTACTCAGCTACAGTAATTAATACAGTGTGGCACTGGCACAAGGATAGACTTATAGATCAATGAAACAGAATTAAGAATCCACAACAAAACCTTTACACTATAGTCCATTAATTTTGCACAATGGTGCCAAGACAATTGAATGGGGAAACAATAGTCTTCTCAACAGATGGCACTGGGAGAATCAGAGAGCCACATGCAAAAAAAAAAAAAAAATTAAATCAAGGCCCTTTCTCATGCCATACCCCCAAATTAATTCAAAATTGATCCTAGACCTAAATGTAAGAGCTAAAATTATAAAACTCTTAGAAGACTCACAGGAGTAAATCTACAATACAGTTGTTTAGGCAATGATTTCTTAGATGTGACACTAAAAGCACAAGTGACAAGAAAAAAACATCAAAATTAAAAATGTTTATGCTGCAAATAATAACATCAATAAATTGAAAAGACAATCTACTGAATAGAAGAAAACATTTTCAAAGAATATTTGTGCTAAAGGACTTACATTCAGAATACGTAACAAACCCTTACCACTCAATAATAAAAAGACAAATAATCCAATTTAAAAATAGGCAAAGAATCTGAATAGACATTTCTCCAAAAAAGATACACAAATATGCATTAAGCACACAAAATGATGTTCAACATCATTAGCCATCAGAGAAATGCAAATCAAAATTTCAATGAGTTACCACTTCACTCCACTAGGATGGCTATAATAAAAAAGACAGACAACATTAAGGGTAGGCAAAATGTGGAGAAATTGGAAACTTTATACATTGCTGGTGGGAATGTAAAATGATGCATTCATTTTGGGCAACAGTTTAGCATTTCTTCAAACGATTAAACAAATAGTTACTATAAAACTCAGCCATTTCACCACTAGATATCAAGCCAAGAGAAATGCAAACATATGTCTACACAAAAACTCATGCATGAATCCTCATAGTATTATTGTACTATGAATAATATTGTATGTAATATTATTCATACAAACTAAAAAGTAGAAAAAACCTAAGTGACTATCAACAGATGAAGTGATGAATAGGATGAAGGGGAGATATGAGGAGTGACTGCTAATGGATTCAGGTTTATTTCAGTCAAGATGAAAATGCTCTAAAATTATATTGTGGTGATGGTTACACAATCTTATGGATATAATTAAAAACACTGAATTTTCACATTAAATGGGTAAATTGTACAGCATGTGAATTATATCTCAATAGAGCTGTTTAAAATTTTTAAAAGAAAATAAAAACACACACTTACATGCTGCACTCACTCCTTAAAACAAGATCTCTTCTCTTATTTCTAAGTTTCTAGAGCTTGAATTCTAGGGTAGGGGCAGATCTGAAACAGAAAGTTCTGATGCTAGAAAGGGAATTAGGTTTTCAACATTTAGGAACTGATGTGTGCAAACTTTAATAGAATAAGCTCATTTTCCTTCACTGTAGACAAAAACAAAAATCAATGACACAAATTTCTGAAGAAACTTCCTTGGTTACAGCTTTGGTTTAGAAGAATCTGAACCTGCATTATGTAACTCCTTTATTCATCCAGAGTGAGTTGAGAAGAATCTGAATAGCACTAACTAAAGGATTGCCTTGTTATGTTGGAACACTATTATCTGTCTGAAGGCTTGGGCTCTCACTCTGAGGAGAGGTGTGCGTTGAGGACTTTGGAGCAAGAGGAAACAGTAAGGATTGAGCACAGGCACTGAGTGTTTCAGCCTCAGTACTCAGAATATGTTCTGTATAATCTGTTTCTATTTGCCCAGAGACAATTCATGTTAGAGCACAACATAAAGCATGACTGGAGTAAAACGAGTCCAGTTCCCCATCCAGGAAATCAAAAGGCCAGACGCTGAGCTGAGTTGAAGCACAGAATCTCAGAAAACTCAGTCATGCAGGGGAGACATTTGAAGAGCTGGATGAAGGGGGAAGGATCCAAAATAGGGTCGCTAGATAAAGACAAGATATGCAGCTAAATTTGAATTTCAGATAAACAACAAACATATTTTACTAGTATAAGTATGTCCCAAATATTTCAGGGACGTATTTTTATTTGCTAAATTTGTAGCCTTTTTGTGTTTATATTTGCTAAATATGGCAACTCTAATCCAATGGGCACAGTTAGTTAATAAAACATCTGGACAATCAGTTGGCAATAAAAAGAGATGTGAAGAGAGATTTTCTAAGAAATGGGGATTGAGACAGAAGACATGAAGAGGAAGGCTGGGGGCAAAGAGTAGAACAGCCCACAGCAGAAGCTTAGAGGATTTTGTAGCTCAGTTCGTAGCTTCAGATAAAACAACCACTAAAAATACATATCTACTATGGGAAGAATATAGGATTTGAGTTCTTTACATTTCATGGCTCATGATATAAGCATTCAAGGACCTCCCTGAGCCATACAAAGATTATTTCCAGGTCGACATATGACCGTGCACAGTAGCTACAAGAACCTTCTCCTTTCAGGGACTCCCGAAGATGATACTTTTTGGTGAACCTCTCAGAAGCATAAGGTCTTACATTCATATTCTTGATGACCCTGAGGCATCTTTAATCCAGCTACCCCAAGAAATCTTCCTCAGAGAAACAGAAGAGAAGTAGTACTTCCATTGCCAGCTGAAGCTCTCAAACAATAACAAGAAAAAAGAAAGGAAAAGCTAATGTTATCCATACATACATAGGGAGTGAATAGTCCCTAAGTACTTGGAAATAAGGTTCGATGTACTCAGAGTTCTACTAGCAAACTCTAAGTCACTGTGATTTATCATTTGGAGAAGTAAAACAAGAGACAGCTCATCATGTGTCACTGAAGCATAAGAGAGCAGCCAAAACATTAAAAGTCACGTGATGTGGGTAAGCCCTCAAGGAGGTAGACACGGAATGTGAGTATCATTTAGTAATGTCAATATAATAGAATTTGTCAAAAATGGAAGCCTCAATAAATCAATTCAAAAAGAAAAGCTGGCAATGTCCATTAGAACAATGTCCTAAAAATGCACATCTTGGCTAAGTAGACAGAGCATTATGATTTGTTTGGCTAGTAAACTTTTCTCCATGAGCCTCTATGCTGGTCAATCAATAGCCTACATTCTGGATTGTACTCATTAGTCTCTGTGAACTTAGTTAAATGTGAGTCTGTTCCTGAAAGGGAGATCCATTCTTACCACATTAATAAACCAATTTGGTTTCTCAGCCTGGACTTCCTAAGGCCAGCTTCTGGGTCATGGTGAATGGCTCAAAGGAAGCTTCTGGTGACCCATCCAGATAGCTTTTCCAGGGAAATACATTGTCTGCCTTTTTCAAATGGAAATGCAGGGTTCCAAGGCCAAAATTATCCCCACTAAATTCACATAATATGGTCTTTCTATCACAATGCCTAATCCCTTACCATTCTTAGTTAGCAGCATGTCCAGTGTGGTTTACCTTGTAGCTTGGGATCTGGAACTAACATTCCAGTGCTATGACTGCTGTACTGGCCCAATGCTAAACACAGATCATCCATAGCCCCATCTCTGTTTGATTTGTAAATGTTTATGACTTAAATTATAATTTTTTTATTACTTAAACGAACCACTTCTTCCCACATGCCTTATGCTACATACAAGCTTCCTTCTGGTTGCAAGGAGACCTCTTACTTGTGAATGGCTCTTGTCAAAAACTACAGAGTTGCAACAGGAGGGCATCAGAGAAGAGTTACATAAATAATTTTTTATTTTTAGGTGCTTAGGTTCTTCAGTTATTGCAGGCAGACACTGAAGCATAAATAAGATATGGGAATGCTCTGGGTGAAAGAATAAATGCCTCTGAAACAACAGATTGCTGCAGGCAGAAAGGTAAAACATCTCTAACAGTAGTTTCTAAATGCTTCTCACTTTTGATCTTCAAAAGCTTATGAAAACTTTATACCTTATATACACCAGTGAAAAATAAAGTTCACATTTACAAATAATTCATACAATTTATAGTGTGGCCGGTATTCTAAGTTCTTTACATCTATGTTTTGACATATTCATACTCAAAGAATCAAGGATCATCACCATGGATGTATTTGAGCATTTCTACTCCATTCTGTAATCTCACAAGGACTGTGTTCTCAGCTTTGTAATCTCATCCTAAAAATAGTCTAATAGTCCACTTTGAGAGTCAATAACCTTAGGTTCCAAGAGTGTCGAAGGGAGCTATAAAGAATTACAGCTTCTTAACCTATAACCGTTCCCCAATCAATATCTAATAAAAATCACTACAAGCATTTAGAAGTACCATAGCTATTCCACTCTTGGTCTTCGGTACAAATGTTTTTCTCTTATTTCAATTATTATTAAACACTTCAAACTATAAGTGAAATAACATACTGATATATTTTTTAAATCCATGCACACATAATCCAGAATTCACAAACATTAAAATTTAATGTTTAGTCTCATTTAGAAAACAATATACTAAAGATACAATAGATACCATATATTGTAGATACAGAATACAGTGGGTTCTATGTAGATACTATATATTGTTTAAAATGTTCTTTCATATTCCTACCCTTTTAAAAATGTACATATTCATAAACAATATACTAGTTTTTGTGCTTATGAATGTAAATAAATGGCATTACACCCTATATATGGCTCTACAACTTGCTTTCTTTAACTCATTATTTTGGGGGCTATATCTACGCTGAGTCAGGTAGATTATTTAGTAATTTTAAATATGTATAATATTCCATTATATGCAGATCCCCTTATTTATCTACTCATTAATTTGATTCCTGTTGGTAAATTTAGGTTGCTTTCTATTTTTGGTTATTGTAAGCACAAGAGCAGTGCAGATATGCAAGCATTTCTCTAACGTATCTACCTAGAAGCAGAATGGCTGGGTAACAAGGTATGCACATCTTCAGCTTGTTTTGTGAGGATTAACTGACTTGATATGTCGAAGTGATTAGCAATGCTTGGCAGGGAACAGGAGCCTAATAAACATTTAAGGTGTGGTAGCTACAAATATTTTATATTTTGATGAAGCCAAATTATCAATTTTTTATTTTTTCATCTTGTTTTAAAGAATTCCTTCCATGCTGTGATGTTATAAAGATATTCTTCTACATTTTATTTTTCTTTTGTTAACTTTTGAACTTTTGCTTTTCACTTTGAGATCTTTAATTCATCTGGAATTTATTTTGGTGTGTGCTATGAGGTAAAACACTGACTTTTAATATGGATAAGCAATTGTCCCAACACCACTTTATCCCCTACTGACTGGCAATGCTATTTTTATCACATTCCAAGATCCCATGTATGTGTGCGTATCTTTCTGGATTCTCTGTTCTATACTACTATAGACGTTTAAGTTCTTAATTTCACTGTGGCTTCATTTTATTTATAAATTGGAGATAAAATCATACCTATTTCATAGGATGCTGTGAGAATTAAACACACTAACATACACAAAGTGCTTGGAATAGTGCCTGATATATAGTAAGTAAAACATACGAGTTAGTTTTTCTGATGGTTACTTTTATGTATTTATGTGTTAATTTGATTGGACAACAGGGTGCCCAGGCATTTGGTCAAACATTATTCTGTTTGACAGGGTATGTCTGTGAAGCTGTTTTTGGACAAGATCAACATTTAATTGGTAAGCAGATTGTCCTCCCTAATGTGGGTGGCCTCAATCCAATCAATTAAAAATCTAAATAGAACAGGCTTACTAAGAGGGAACTCCTTCTGCCTGTTTTAACTGGGACATCAATCCCCTCCTGTGCTCAAACTGGAACTTACTCCATCAGCTCTCCTTGTTCTCAGGCCTTTGTACACAGACTGGGTTTGTACCATTGACTCTCCTGGGTCTCTGCCTGGCAGACTGCAGATCCTGGGACTTCTCAGTCTCCACAATCATGTAAGCTAATTTCTTATAATAAATCTTTACACACACACACACATACACACACACACACACACACACTATTGGTTCTATTTCTCTGAAGAACCTAGTACAGCCGTTATTAGTATATGTTTTTCTAATCACCAACACTACACTGTCCCAAAGATTCAACTTTGTATCACTTCCTGATTTCTAATAGAGCAAGTTTTTCCTTGCCTTAAAATTTTCCTCAATTCCTTGAACCTTCATTTTTCATATAATGTTTGGAATCAACTTTTCAAATTGCCAAAAACTCCCAAGGGATCTGAATCAGAAATGCACTGAGTTCATAGATTTGAGAAAAACAGATTTTACAGTACTGATTTCTCCTCCAGGAACAGGTTGTATACCCCACCACCTCCTTTTTTAGTCTTCTTTATATTTTTTCATATAATAATTTTCAACATGATGAACTTGTACAATTTCTATACATTTTTTCCCCAATTTATAGTTTTGGCACTATTATGAAAAAGATTTTATCTTACCATTTCATTTTTAATTAGTTATTGCATAAGAATTCTGCCAAGTTTTATATATGAATCTTGCATTCAAAAAGCTTGCTGAATTTTTTTATTAGTCTTAACAATTTATTTGTATGAACTCGGAATGTTCTGTACACTTTGTTTAGACTCCTGATGATAGCAGGTTTGCCTCTTTTTAAAAAATATCTTACGTATTTTCATAATTTTTATCTTTTTTGCATTGCCTAAGACTTCTATTAATATTTTCATACTGGCTTATTATCAATGCCCTAGCTTTTTGAGACACAGAAACATATATATTATACAGATAATATCTGTCTTCACTGCCCTTGGAACTATGCAATGAGAAATGAATGTGTGGCCATCTCTCTAGGTGTCTAGTGAATTGTTTTGATCTGAAAGAGTAATAAAATTTCTCTTACCTCCTCAAGAGGCCCAAATAGTTACAGCCAGGATTAGGTAGCTAGGTTAAAACCCTAAAGTGCCAGGAAGGTTGGAGTGCTATCTCCTGAAGTATTTACATTTCAAATGGTATGAAGTCCAAAACTTGAAGATATCTCTGGGTCTTAAAAGCCAGAGACGGCCGGGCTCAGTGGCTCACGCCTGTAATCCCAGCACTTTGGTAGGCCGAGGTGGGTGGACCACCTGAGGCCGGGAGTTCAAGACCAGCCTGACCAACATGGAGAAACCCATCTCTACTAAAAATACAAAATTAGCTGGGTGTGGTGGTGAGTACCTGTAATCCCAGCTACTGGGGAGGCTGAGGCAGGAGACTTGCTTGAACCCAGGAGGCGGAGGTTGCAGTGAGCCGAGATTGCGCCACTGCACTCCAGCCTGGGCAACAAGAGCAAACTCCATCTCAAAAAAAAAAAAAAAGAAAAAAAAGGGGGCCGGGCATGGTGGCTCATGCCTGTCAACCTAGCACTTTGGGAGGCCGAGGCGGGTGGATCTCGAGGTCAGGAGATTGAGACCATCCTGGCTAACATGGTGAAAACCCATCTCCCCTAAAAATATAAAAAAATTAGCCGGGTGCAGTGGTGGGTGCCTGTAGTCCCAGCTACTCAGGAGGCTGAGGCAGGAGAATCCCTTGAACCCGGGAGGCGGAGCTTGCAGTGAGCTGAGATTGCACCACTGCACTCCAGCCTAGGTGACAGAGTAAGACTTCCGCTCAAAAAAAAAAAAAAAAAGCCAGAGATACCATCTATTTACATATTAATAGCCCTTGGAAAGATATTTATATTCCAAAAGGTTAGGCCAGGAATCTAGGATACTTTCCATCAAATGAGTAAAAATATTTTTCTCTCCTTTCAGGAAGGAAAAGGGATGATTATCTCTCTCCCACCAATAAAAGGAGAACATCTATTGTTTTCCACCTCTTGCCTATAGTGTGTCAGTTTACTCATGTAGGAGATTTTTTCCGTCTAGTTTTAACTGTGTCATCCCAGGAGTAAGGCCTGCAGCAAAAGTGGGGTGGGGGTGGTGCAATGCACTTATTTAATATAAGGTAACAAATAACAAATCTGTCTCTCACCTAGAATACTTAACCAGTCATTTAGGATAAAATTAATAACTATGAATATTAAAAACTGACCAAATTAATAGATTTTTCTAATGTTATATCACTCTTACGTTTCTAAAGTAAACCTTAATTAATGATAATATATTTAATTTGAACCATTTATGGGGTGGATGTACCAACATTATATTTATGACTTCTTTACCATGTTCATAGGGAGATTATCTCGTGATTTTTATCTCTGTATTCCATCAAATTTGGTGTTAAGGTTATATTGGCCTTATAAAAATGGCTGGGTAGCTTTATCTTCTTTCTAACAGTTTATACAAAATATGTATCCTCTCTCCTTTGAAGGGTATTTAACATCTTCCTGAATACCACCTGAGCCTGGTGTCATGATCAAGGAGCTAAAATGGTAACTGATTACTAATCTTTGGAAGTTATTGTTTATTTCTTCTTAAGTCCATTTTTATCACGTATAATTTCCAAATAAATGGTCCATTTCACTTATGCTGTCAAAACTGTTATCATAAAGTTTATAGTAACAGTTAAGACCAATATGATTATCCTTATAAACTCCTAACTTCAGCACATAGGCACCTTCCTCATTTTGAATTAATTCTTGTATTTGGGATTATTTCATTCTTTTGTTTTTGAGCTCAGCCTTATTAAATAATTTATTAGTTCTGTTTTATTCAGCCTCTGGTATGTGTGGAATATCAATGATTTATTTAATACCTTACTTCCACAAATTGACCAGAAAATGGCACCTCATTTTTCTATCAGTTACTCTGGGTTTTGGGACCTTTTCCCAGCTTTTTATTCCAATTTCTGATGAGCTAATATAAGAAAATACCTAAGTACTTTCAAATATGATTCAACAATTTTACATCTAGATTTACGGGGATTGCCATACTATACCCAAATTAACAGGGCTATCTAATGACACCAAATTCTGAGCCAAAAAATGTTTACAAATATGTACTTATTTAGTATACTGGTCACAGAAATAAAGTGTAATTTTCCACTGAGAAATAACATTTAAGATTGCACACATTTCACAATTCCTCTAAGGAAAGAGGAAAGAAACTTACATTTGCCAGGAACTGAATAATCAATAACATGAAACATGAAAGATGCAGAGAAATGAACAACATAAATCAGAGTACACATATTCTGCTTTAAAAATTAAGGTCTCAGCTGCAGAGATCATCTAAACTATCACACACAAACCAAAATTCCCACTGTCTCTTCAATCCAATGATCATTATATTTCAGCCTGTTTCCAAAACAATAGTTTTCAACCAGATACAACCAACGTTTTAACCAAACCAGCTGATGAGCATTTCATAAGATTGTCCTAATGACAAGGCTCCTCCTTGTCATTAGTCAAATTCCTTGAATTCTGAGCAATCATGCAAATTTTGTTGGCAGATAAAATGCAACTTTCATTTCTCTACGTATCAATTACTGTTACAGGAATTTTCCTTAGTTCAGCTAAAGACGGGGTTCTTGTCTGTCCCACGGCCATGGAAATTTAGGCTCGCAGATGGTTTAAAGGGTGAGTACAGCAGGGTTTTATTGGGTGAGAAGGAAAAAGATAGGGAAAACAGGGATCCTCCACAAGGCCAGAGTTCCCTGCTAGAGCGCTTCCTGCCAGCCATTTGAATCCCACGTTCCACACAGGAAAAGGAGAGGCCGGGCTCCTCCCTGCTGCAAATGTCATGAACTTCCTGAGGCTCCGCCTCAGTGGGCAGGCTGGTTGGAGTTTCTCCAGGGAACCCCTCCCATCTGGCTGTCTCATTACTGTCTTACGTTTCAAGATTTTCATGTTGTCTATAATGACACTGACATGTAAGGATGGGTATATTCTTAGATCTGATAATTATGCTTAAATTGATTTTGCAAGAGGAAATACAGGAAAGGTAAAATAATTTGCAGTAAAACATATACATCTAGATAATGGCAGAGCAGGCCTTGAACTGAGTTCTACTTACTCCTAGTTCTACACTTTTCCTCTCTTTCCTTTTAACCTTTTTTAACTTCAGAATCACCTAGAGGACATTGCAACTTTCTCATAAGGGTTAAAAGCTCCACTATTCATCAACAACCAAGAATTTTTCTAAAACCTGAAATAAAGGCTTACATTGCAGCACTTCATTTAAACACCAAAAACAGCCTTGCTAGAATTGTGTAGATTTATGGCTACTTATAATTAAAACTTATTTGTTGTAAACAAGACAGCTAAAATGATTACGCTTTAAATGATACACAGACATGTTACAAAAACAGAATAAATTTGTACTTAGTGATACTGTACCTATTATAAAACTAAGTCCAAAAGGAGTTGTATTAGGGATAATCTGAAACCTCAGAAATATTGTTTACATGGTAAGCGAAAGGGGGCAATTAACTAACATTCCTTGAGTGCCTACATTGTGGCAGGAGAGTGGTAAGCATTTTGCATCGTTTATCTCATTTAATCCTAAAATAAAAAAGAATCACTATAACCTCACTAGTTTGTTATTCTGACTTAATCTTTAAAATATCAGCATATATTTTTAAATATAATCCAGCATTCTTAACACTAAAGCCACAGGCAAATTTGATGAAAATGTCATAGCAAAAGGCCATCCTATAATTATAAAGTATAACTCATAATAAGCATGACAAACTTTTCTGAATAATTATGAAGAGATGGCATAATGCTTGTTAATTACTGCAGAATTTGCAATCTCAACATCTTTTAGCTCCATTTTTCTTTCTACATATCTTTTTATGATATTTTGATTTAAGTCACTTTATTTCCCCAACACTGCCAGGAATTTATCAACCTTGCTGCCAATCTGATAATATTTTTAGATTTTAAGTTATAGAATCACTTTAGAATTCCCCACCAGTAAAAGCATTTCCAGTGCTGTAGGGCAGTCCTAATCACTTGCAGCACTGATTTATCAGCTAGGCATGTTTTGAGAACACTATGATACTGAGTCCTTTGTAATTAGTAAAGTGTGCTCTTCGCCTTTCACAGTACTTGGAACAAACTTAAACATCTAAGTAACTTAAAATGCTGTAGAAAAGAATAGGGAAGAGGAAGTGGGCAATATGATTCAGTGCAAAGAACACTGGACTAAAAGCTATTAGACCTATGTTCACATTCTAACTCTTGCATTATCAAGGCATATATCTTTCAGCATTTTATTTTAATTTTCTAGGATTTAATTATTAAACTCAATGTCCTGATTTTCCACCTTTAGAACCTATAAAAAGATGAGCAAAGCAAATTCAAAATAGATAGAAAACAGAAAACAGCAACAATCAGAAAAAAATAATAAAACAGAAAACAAGCAAACAGAAAAAGCTTAAAGCCCTAAAGGTTGGTTATTGGAAAAGATCAACAAAATTCTGAATCCCTAACTAGTCTGATCAAGTTAAAAAGAAAAAAAAAAAGGAGAGTACAACAATTACCAACATCAGAACTGAAAGGACTTATATAAATACAGATCCTACAGAAAATAACTAGATAATAAGAGTATATTATGAATAATTTTACACTGCAAATTCAACACTTACATGAAATGGACAGATTCTTCAAATATACAACTTACTAACAGTGACAAAAGATGAAGCAGAGAATCTATTTGTATATCTATCAAGAAATTGAATTCAGAGTTTAAAACTTTTCCACAGAATAAACTCTATGCTAAGATAGTTTTTCAAGAATTTTCTCAAATATTTTTAAAAGTAACAACAATAATCTTACACATATTCTCATAAAACAGGAAAGTGGGAAAAATTTCCAAACAGTTTATGAAGGCAGCATAATCCCAATATTAAAAAATGACAAATTTATTCCAAAAAGAAAACTATGGACCAATGACAGTCATGAACTTAGGAAGAAAAAGTCTTTAAGATATTAGCATACATAAAAATGATAAGATTTCATGCCAAGTGAGGTTTATTCCAGAAATGCCAGATGGATGTAACACTTAAAAATAAATCAATGTGATTCACTCTATTAAGATTATAAAGAATAAAAGCTTCATGATCATTTCAATAGATGAATAAAAATATTTTACCAAATTCAGCATCTGTTCATGATTAAAAATAAAATCCTCTCGACAAGCCAGGAACAGAAAGTAAGTTCCTCTCCTCAATCTGATTAAGACATCTATAAAAAATCTACAGCTAACATTTTATTTAATGATGACATATTAATGCTTTCCCCTATGTTGTGAAAAAAGGTAATGATATTCACTCTCAAAACTTCTATTCAACATTGTGCTGAAATTGTAGCCATTGCAATAAAATAAGAAAAAATAATGAAATGCAAGCAAACAGAAATAAAGAAGTAAAACTATCACTATATGCAAATGATATAATTGTTCACATAGAAAAATCTATAGAATATAAAAACTAGAAACCAATTGATGAATTTAGCAAATTTGGAAGATACAAGGCTAATATATAAAAATAAGTTGTATTGTTACATATTTGCAGCTAACAGTTGGAATATGAAATTAGAAAAATAGTTCTACTTACAATTGTGCAAAAACACATACAATATTTAGAAATAGGTTTAGGAGAGATCACAAAAATCCTCTATACTAAAAACCACCAAAGATGGCTGAAAGAAATTCAGGTAACCATAAATACATGAAAAAATATATAATGTTAGTGGTTGGAAGGCTCAATATTGTTAAGATGTAATTACCTCTCTATGAAGTCAATGAAATCCCCATGATAATTTTCAGTTATTTTTGTGAAACTGAAGACATGATTCTGAATTTTATATGGAAATATGAAAAAAATACATCTCATATCCACATTTTAAAAGATAAGGTTCAAGGACTTACACTACCTAATTTTCAGGCTTACTATAAAGCTAGAGTAATAAAGACATATCAGCAGGCAGGATCAACAACTAGATCAATGAAACAAAGAAGTAGAGAAACTCAGAAGTTTCTACTAGATCAAAGTAGAGAACTCAGAAGTAGATTGATAATTCTAAAGTCATTTGAGTTTCTGCAATGAATCCAAAGTAATTTAATGCAGGAAGAAAAGAGTTTTCAGTAAAGAGTCCTGAAATAAATGGATATCCATATTTTTAAAAATATCAAATCTAACCCACACCTTACATACACAAAAATTAATTTTTTTTTTTGACACAGCTTCTCCCTCTGTTGCCCAGGCTGAAGTGCAGTGGTTTGATCTCTGCTCACTGCAATCTCCACCTCCCGGGTTCAAGTGACCCTCCTGCCTTGGCCTCCCTAGTAGTTGGGACTACAGGCGTGCGCCACAACGCTGGGCTAATTTTTGTATTTTTAGTAGAGACGGGGTTTCACCATGGCCAGGCTGGTCTCGAACTCCTGACCTCAGGTGATCTGCCCACCTCAGCCTCCCAAAGTGCTGGGATTACAGGCGTGAGACACCACACCCTGCCCACAAAAATTAATTTGACATGGACATAGATCTAAACATAAGAGCCAAAATTATAAAAATATTTCGAAGCAAACATAAAAGAGTACCTTTGCAACACAGGAAACAGAAAACAACAATCACAAAATAAAAAAATTGATAAATTAGACTTTATTAAAATTTAAAACTTTGACTAAAAAATATATCATTAGGAAAATGAATACCCACATATTCAATACAAGGAGAAATTAATGGGCAAATATCTGCTGTCCAGAATGTGAAAGAACTCATAATTCAGTAATGAGAATATAACCAATCCAAAAAATAACAGCAAAGTATTTGAAAACACTTCACAAAGTAAGACATATGCATTGCCAATAAGCACATTAAAAACTATTCAATATATTTATCCATCAGTGAAATGCACATTAAAACCACAAGGTGATACTACACATACAAAACAGAATGGCTAAAATTAAAGACTCACGAGAACAAACACTGGCAAGAAAGTAGATCACTTGAACTCTCATAAAAATGATGCAACCACTTTGGAAAAATGGTTGGCATTTTCTGGAAAACTAAACCTACATCTACCCTATGACCAAGCAATTTCAGTACTAGGTACTTAAGAGAAAAGAAAGCACATGTCCACAAAAATACTTGCATGAGAGTATTCATAACAACTTTATTCACAAAAACCAAAATGGAAACAGCCAAGGTAGCTCTTAATAAGAAATTAGATAAACATAAATATACATGATGAAATACTACTTAAGAATAAAAAAGAACCAACTACTCATACATGTAACAACATATGTCTGAATCTTAAAAACATTATGCTGAATGAAAGAAGCATTATACAAAAGAGTAGATAATTGTATGACCCATTTGATATGAAGTTCTAGAACAGGCAGAAATAGTAAGACAAAATCAGATCAGTGGTTGTCTCTGAGGAGTTTGTGAGAAAGTTGACTAGGAAGGGGGCTGAGGGAACTTTTTGCAGTGATGGCTATAGTCTGTATTGTATTAGGGGTTTGGGTGGTTTGACACAGAATTGTCACAAACCCTCAGTTGCAGTATCTACAAAGCTCATAAAGCAAGTGGCAATTAAACAAGGTATGCCAGTATCTACATACATATATATGTATAGATAGCCAAATTATTCTTTGACATTAATATAATAATAGATAATAAAAAGTATTTTTGCATAGAATGGCTTTTATTTAAAAGATTAGAATTCTTATATTTTTCTTTTAAAAGTATTATTAAAATAACACAAGAAGTTGATTAAAAGCAAAGCCCTCAAAATTCAGCACTTTTATAGTGTTAACTATAAACACAGAGGCAAGAAATTTAAGGAAGAATATAATTGTTAGGGTTATAAATATTGTCTGAAATGTATTGCTAACTGTAATTGTGACAATAAGGGTATAAAACAAGTCTTAAATACAGTAATTTCAGTTGTGTACAAAATGAGACTCGGTAGTAGTGACTGAAGTTCTGGGTAGAGAAGATCACGAGCTCAAATTGAGATTCAAAGAAAAAAAAATGTCTATATGGATTTTGGAGGTAGGAACCATAGCCCAAGTATGAAGAATTTGTCAACTCAAACTGTCTTACCACTCATTATTGAACGTTTAACTTATAATCCGTTTTGTCTTGTTATATTTGTCCACAGAGTGCACCCACCCTCGTGCTTCAGGGAAAAGACATATGGCCAATATCCCTTGACCTATAGAAGTCATGTTCAATTTTCTTTAAAAATACATTTAATAGGTTGAAGCAAAGGGGGAAAAATCTAGGATTAATAAAATAAAGATAAGTGGCTGTAAATGTTTCTTGTGTTTTATTTCTCTAAATATTTTAAGCTTCTTGAAGATAATATCCATACTTTCTATTCTTTGCATAGTCTCTATCACGGTGTGAGAATGCGGTATTTGATTTCAAAAATGTGTTTAATTAAGACGAAAAATTTAAAAACTACTATATGGCTGAGTCTTATTTTAAGGTTTTAAACGCTCTACTGTGAGGAAATGGGTGGCTAGTGTTGCTGTGGGAGTGATGATTGTGCCTGGAGAGGTAAAAATAAACCAAAGAAAGCTTTAGAAAAAAAAAAGTTTGACATTTTCTTTCAGAAGTCCAAACACTGTCTAAAAGTAGACAGGGAAGTTTCCCAAGATAAGAAAAGGAGAGTATAATGAAAGGAGCATGGGCTCTTTACCTACTGACTGGCTCAGTGACCTTAGGCTTGTTCTTGACCCTGTGCCTCTACTTTCTAAATGGAGATAATAACCTTTGATTGAAAGCACAATGAGGAGGAAAAGTGGAGGTACTCTTGTTCTCTCCTTTCTTTCTCTTATATCACTCTGGGGAAAGCAAGCTCCCAGGCTGTGATCAGCCCTACGGAGAAGCACATGTGGAAAGGAACTGAAGCCTCCAGCCAAAGCCAGCATGAACAGAGGTGTGACAACAATCACTTGAGTGAGCTTACAAATAAATTTTGTAGCTCTGTAAGCCTTGAGATGACTGCAGCTCCAGCCTACAGCTTAATTAAACGTTGGGAGAGAATCTGAGCTGGAACCATTTAGTTAAGCCATATCCATATTGCTGACCATCAAGAACTGTGAGATAATAAATAAATACTTGTTTTTAAACTGATGAGTTTGGGCCCAATTTGTCACATAGCAATGGGTAACTAATACAGTTCCCCAAGTTTATGTTCCACCAAATGAATTCTGTCTTGGAGGGATCTCAAAAAGCCTACAGATGCTAATGTCTTTGCATTCAAAGTCTCCAGGGGCTAGACCATATTCATATTCCCTCTTAAACTACAAACAGATTAAGAAAAGACTGAAGGTCACAGGAAAGCTAATTTACTTGCCAGGTATTTCTGCTCTTAACTGAGAAAATATGTCAACCCAGACATCAAAGTGCAATTTAAACTGAATACATTCACATGATCCGGCCTCCTTAGCAAAATGACAAATGAAACCCTAACTCTATGACTAACCTTAATTTTAGAGTGAGATAAAATGCAATGGGAAATTAACTGCTTTATTCTTGGAAGTGTTAAACAGAAGCACTTAAAAATATCAAAAGAATAGTGTTACATAAAATGAAGAGGAGCCCCACTAAAAGGCTAAATGAATTGAAGTGGGAAAATTATGCATTGTAGAGGTTCCTATTGCAAGGGAAATAAACAGAGATCAGGCTTTGGAGAGGGAATGGGTAATTCTATCTGGAATTTGTCACCTACAGTTTCTGATAATCTTCCAACAGCTTTGAAAATGTGTGTACTTCCATAGAAACTGACTATCTTTAACAAGCTTGACCACATACAGTTTTTCCTGAAATGTAATATAATTACATAGCTGAGCTGTGTGTGAATTTATCTTCAGATGGACACATTCTACCACCAGATGAAGTAAATCAGATCAAAGTGGAAAGGAACTGCCAGATGGCAGTTTATGGAACTCTCATTTGGCCACCTTCCATTTATTTATTATATTTTTTAAGTTATGGGAAAAGCTGAGCCTTTATAGAAGTCAGAATACACATGCAGTGGGAAGTCTATACATTTCTTATTTAATTACTGATGAAAATGTAAAAAACATTTTACTGATTTATCTCAGCATGTTTTATTATCTTCATTTTCTTCCTTGGTGGAAAGGAATAGGCAGTGAATAGGAAGAATACAAAAAGATATCACATTTAAGAAGACGTTCATTGTCTTTCATGACTAAATTAAAAACAATGTCATATGATAAAATTACAAGGCACTCAAACTTAAGACAGGCGTAACACAGGTTTCTGAATTTGGGTCTTAACATATGCTGTTTTACAAAGACCTCAAATCTATTTTTATTTTTATTTGATTTAATCCGATGTCTAATTGATCAAAATGGTTTGTTTCCTTTTCTTGTCTTTCCTCTTTTCCTTAACTGAGAAGATAATGTCTTAAATTAAATTTAAAACAGAATACTAGGATTGCAATGCCTTGATTAATTACCTCATACTTTAACTTTCAAAGTTATTCTAGATTTTCACAGTTAGCACAATTTTAATTAAAGTACTCTATAAAAATGCTGTAATTATTATTATTGTTAATATATTTATTAAATATCTGTTTCAGGAACTATGTTAATGTTTTGTATGGTGTATTTCATAATTAACTTAGCAAATTTTACCTTAGGTCACCAACAACTGTATGAAATAATTTCACAAGTCCCCCAAGGCTAATGGAAAAAATATATATATATATGGATATATAGAATACATATAAATTTACTTGTGATGTGTGACATACATACAAAACAGCATATTAGCTGGGTGCCGTGGCCCACTCCTGTAATCCCAGCACTTTGGGAGGCCAAGGCGGGTGGATCACGAGGTCAGGAGATCGAGACCATCCTGGCTAACACGGTGAAACCCCGTCTCTACTAAAAATACAAAACATTAGCCGGGCGCGGTGGCGGGCTCCTGTAGTCCCAGCTACTCAGGAGGCTGAGGCAGGAGAATGGCGTGATCCCGGGAGGCGGAGCTTGCAGTGAGCCGAGATCGCGCCACTGCACTCCAGCCTGGGCGACAGAGCGAGACTCCGTTTCAAAAAAAAAAAAAACCAGCATATTAGCAATGTTGCTGTTATTATCCAACACTTGATATCTTATATTTAATAATTTGAAAATGTTGGATGCCTGACTTTAGGGTGTGGAAAATGAATGAAGTGATTGTAGACCATTTACTCTAAGAGTTTTTCAGACATGAGAAGAGAGTTATGGTTTAAAAAAAAACTGTTCCTCCTTTAAAAAGAAAAAGGAAGTAAAGAAGAGGTTGCACACTGGAGAGAGAGAGAGAGACTAGGTAAAGTTCTATATTAACTTACATATTTTTATCTTGTAGAGATGCAAATAATATTTGTTTGGTGAAAAAATAAATCTCCAAAAGTTATTATTCATCGCCCTCATAAAACATTAACCAGTTCTGTATCTAATATCCCTTTATTAAATTGCTTATGAATACCTAGCTTCTCAAATGCTCTTTGGATTAGTTTAACATCTTACTGGTACCCTCATTAATAAATGTGTAGAAGAACACCTTTGACATGTGTTTATTTTATATCTGCATGAAAGTCATGACTAGTGACTAATGGCTTCTAGTAATAATGATAATAGCATTCCTTATTAATGCATCATCAAAAACAACTCCATTCCTCTCAGTCATTCTTGTGATGTTTTCTTAGTGATATTAGAATGTAAAGTATTTGAGCAACTCTAGCCCATGAATAAAATGTTTTATAAACTTAGATGTTCAGCCTTACAGAGCCAAAGTCTTTTGAACCCTGGGAAAAGCAGGCTTAATATATCACTGAATTTGACATGAATAACAGATTATTTTCCCCAAAAACAAAGAACTAAGGATGAAATACCAAAAAAAAACTTATGATTATAAGCGTTGTTATAGCTTTGTCTGAGGTGATTCTCAACCAGGATCAATTTTCCCTCCAGGGGACATTTGGCAAAGTTTGAAGACATTTTTGGTTGCCACACTTGGGAAAGGGTGCACTGGCATCGTGTGGTTAAGGAACATGGATGCTGCTAAAGATTCTGCATTACACATGACAGGCCCAACAACAAAGAATTATCCAGCTGAAAATGTCATCAGTGCTGAGGTCAAGAAACACTGGTCTACAGTAGCAAAGAAAAGTGATTTGAGAAATTATCAGGCAACAACAAAAAAGAAAACAATTGCACATGAAATGTAATTATCTCCAATAAGAAATATGTATGTGAATACTATATTAACCTAAGAAATAACTGTATAGCAATTGCCTTTGAAATTTACTGTTTTCAGGAGATAAAGCTTGCAAGTCATTTCAGAATTGATGTAGAACATTATGAATATCAAATTCTTTTCATTTTTTACAATAACTCTGGCAAAATGGCAAATTATACAGCAATTCAACTAAAGTGCAATTGCAACTAGTTTATGGGCTACATTAAGTCACAAAAGAATTAAAATATTTCATAGATTTAATTTCATTTTTGGTCATTTATTACCTGAATTTTTGTGCAAAGTGTCTATTTTCTCCCTGTAAAATGTGTCCTTGAGTGTGCCTATACTTTACATCTCCCTCCTTCAGTCACTATTAGAATTTCAGAAATTATTTCACCTACAGAACTATACCTGTTTTTTTCAGGATCTTCAGCATAAAAATAATACTATCAGGCCTTTCTCTTTGAGTATATCAACAAAAGTTTCATCCTTTCAAAGTGATGCAGATCCCACCATATGTGATTATAAATGTTATTTACCTTTGACATGTACACCTGATGCACAAGAGTCTATTCAGAAATTTATGAGTACATTATTTTAAAGGGCGGAATCAAATTTACCTATGCCTAGAAAGAGCACAACTTAATGTTGCAGAAATTCAAAGTCTTTATATATAGTTATTGGCAGCAACAGATGCCAATCCTTAGTAAGAAACTTTGTAATACATATACGTGGCAAGTTATAACATTTTATGTGTGAGAATAATACCAAATCTAAGAATTCCTCATAATCCTAGCCTAAAGAGATAGCAATTGTTAACATTACAGTATTAATCATTCTAATCTTTTTAGAAAAACATTTCTGAAACCACAGCTTATAACTACCTCTTGCTAAACAAGCCCAAACTGTCATAACATGCTGAGAATAAAAAGAAAACAGCCCAGCAAATAAATAGTATCAGTGGTTAAAAGCGATGCAGTGTTGGAGGGACTAAAGATTTTAATTATTTCTTGAGGATTTTAGTTATTTCCTGAAGGGAGGACACAGCACAACTCACACAGCCCATTGGGGGCAGCTTTGGTTTCACATATACTAAGGGCTCAAATGATAATTTCCTATTTCCTGCCTTGTCTTGGACAGAAAATCCAGTTCATTTAATTTATATTTGGCAGCTGCTGGGGCAGCCAAAATTATCCCAAGGATAGAATATATTTTAATCCATACCTGAGGAAGCAGGCCTTTTGGAATTAATCAGGAATTAAATTTCATGACATCCTGTTTTATCGAGAAGGGAAATATACAAATTCACCTACAAGGGTATGCCAAACACAGAGGTTTTTCATTGCACCTGAGCAAACGCAGCATGACTGGATATAGCTGAAATCTTTGAAATATACATCAAAGGACATGCAACACAGAATAAATTCTTCCAGTCTTGCATGATAGAGGATCTTCCATTTCAGGCAAAGGTCAGTTCAGAAGTGAAGTAAGAAATACAAGAAAACTTAGGGTTTCCAAACATAAAATGAGATAATGGGCAGGTCAGTTTCCATAATCTACTCTAAATGCTCTTGTCTAGACTAATGCCAAATTCTATAAGGCAACCATTATCCATCTGCAGTAGGTCTGTTTGTGTCACTGCTTAGTCAGAAAGCAAACTTACTATGGGAGGCAATTCTTCAGAAACACTTTCTGCGTTGTTTTCTAAGATATCACTGTCTCCAGCAGGGTTCATGTATCTTATGAAGCCATGACAACTACCCAGTTGGTTATACTGGGGGACAAAATTTGACAGCTGTCCTTGGGTTTTCTAAATTCATTTTGTTTTTGATCGTTTTACTTCAACTGAAATAATTCTGAGCCACTTGAAGAGTTTGAGAATAATGTTTGCATTGTAAGAAATATTTAACTAAAAAGGTACTTTGGGGGAAACATACTCATTTAGAATTTATTTGTGAAAATTAGACATGTAAAGGCTCTTTCATTATCATACTTTGTCATGGTGACATTTCAGAAAAGTTAAAATAAAAAGCATGCTTGGAGGTTGAGTGCAAAAAAAAGTAAAAATTAAAATAAAAAACATTATTTTATAACTAAATTTTTAGTGAATCTGCCATCTCAGTGCTAGTATCACTAATGATTTTCTTAGACATTTTCTGCTTTGTTACTTTTAGACATGATGATTGATGAAAAATAAAAATAATATAGTAAAAATATTCTATAACATCAAATGTTACAATAGCCACAAATAAAATTAAATATGTAGGAATTAACAAAAGAACTAAAGGATTTATACAATGAAAAATACAAAACGCTGATGAAAAAAATTAAAGAGGACACCAAAAAATGGAAAGATATTCTATGTTCATGAATTGGAAGAATCAATATTGTTAAAATGCTCCTACTACCCAAAGTAATCTACAGATTCAATGTAATCTCTATCAAAATACCAATGACATTCTTCACAGGAATAGAAAAAACAATTCTACAATTTGTATGGGGAATCACACACACACACACACACACACACACACACACACACACACACAAACAAAACAAAAACAAAAAACCCACCAGAATAGCCAAAGCTATCCTGAACAAAAAAGAACAAAACCAGAGAAATCACATTACCTGACTTCAAATTATACTACAGAGCTACAGTAAACAAAACAGCATGGCACTGTCATAAAAACAGACACATAGATCAATGGAACCGAATAGAGAACCCTGAAACAAATTCATACACCTACCGTGAACTCATTTTTTACAAAGGTGCCAACAACATATGTTGGGGAAAAGACAGTTTCTTCAATAAATAGCACTGGGAAAACTTGATATTCTTATGCAGAAGAAACTAGGCCCCTATCTCTTGCCATATACAAAAATTAAATAAAAATGAATTAAAGATGTACATCTAAGACCTCAAACTACAAAACTCCTGAAAGAAAATATTGAGGAAAATCTCCAGGACATTGGTCTGGGCAAAGATTTCTGGAGTAATACCCCACAAGCACTGGCAACCAAAGCAGAAATGGACAAACGGGATCATATCAAGTTAAAAAGCTTCTGCATATCAAAGGAAACAATCAACAAAGTGAAGAGACAACCCACAGAATAAGATAAAATATTTGCAAACTGCCCATCTGACAAGGTATTAATAACCAGAATATATAAAGAACTCAACTCTACAGAAAAAAATCTAATATTTGATTAAAAAACAGGCAAAAGATCTGAATAGACATTTCTCAAAAGACATACAAGTGTCAAACAGGCATATGAAAAGGTGCTCAGCATCACTGATCATCAGAGAAATGCAAATCAAAACAACATAATATATATTATATATTATAATATATGGGATATATATGTTATATAAACTATAATATATATATAACTAAATATGTGTTATCTCCTTATATTTTCCCACTTGAAAGCTTCCATGATGCAGTATAACTCTCCCACACACAGTAAATGTTTTCTAATTTCCAGAAAGACAAGGTAATTCTCTAATTGTTAAGAACTTGTGAACATCCCAGTGATAGCTAAAATAGAGGTGAGAAAATACGTAAGTTGGTAAGTTGGTGAGGGATGAGAAGGCTGGAATGGATGGAGATATTGGCTTAACAGGTAATAGTATAATTCTTAGAATTTCAAAAAATAAGGTAAAAACCCTAGAAATGAAACCAATCTTCCTACCTTCTTTGTTAATATTTATTAAGTGCTTTGCATGATACTTTGCCCATAATAAGCACCAAATAAATATTTGTTGAATTAACAAGTGGTGCTGGTAGTTCACTTTGTGGTGTAAACTGGTAGGTTGGGATGAAAGTGAGGGTTGTACGAAATTGAGAATCAACTGGAGAAACTATATATGGTCATCTCCAAAGGCTTATCTTCAATAGGTTTGTAGAAACTTCCCTTCCCTTGGTCAAGCTTAGAAGCATTATAGGATCAATAATGTTTCCTGAGTTCCTAAAACCCAGAGCACATTCCATCTTTTTCATCTTCACTGCTTTATCACAACAAGAGGGCTCCATACTATACACCCTGAAAACTGGGATAATTATACTGATAAGTTCACACCTTCCTCACACACACAATTTAGTTCACTTTCAGGCTACATGAGTGCAAAGTCACAAAGACATGGTAAAGCAGCCATAAAATGACATTCCACAGGTCAAAGAGCACATTTATAGTTAGCATGAAAAATCATTAGTGAGTAGCCCTCAGGGTATTCATTCAAAATTAGGGTTAGGCATCAAGGGAAAAATATGAAGGTGGAGAGAACACAGTTCTCAAAAAAAAAAAGCATATAAGAAAAGCGAGGCTCTGGAATTCCACAATTTTAAATAAGTTCAAAGTTTAGAGAGGAAAGTCCTTAACGAGGGACTAGTGTATGCCCATACATGCTATAAGGAGAGCGATAAGTCCTAAACATATACTGTGGGTCTGTGTTCTGCTCCCAAGGAGCAGGAGAGGTGAAGGAGAAATGGAGTGCTGTATTGAAAAGAAATATTAATCGAATAATTAGTAAAACTCATTAAATTTCTCCACTGATTTTCTAAAATGTTTTAGCCAAAGGAACAATATTGATATTTTGCAAGGCAATGAGAAACAACTGAAGTATCAACTATTTGAGTGCTTCTCCTCCAACTCAGAAGGCATGTTACCTATGAGGTATGTGTCATATTTAAGAGAACTGCAAAGGTTTTCTTTTATGTTGTTATTATTTTTTAATATCTAATGTGGCCTCCAAGTTGAAGACAAAGCTACTAGAATGCATACTTCCTTCCTAAAAATGGCTTTTACTTTGGTACTTTTAGACATGGTCATTGATGCATACAATATAAGAATATTAAATTTTAAAAATGAAAAATTAGAAAACAGTGGAACATCAGAATGGAAAGATAGAGAGTCAGGATCAGTATTCAAAAGTCAGACCACAAGTCCTATTCAATTGTTAAAGCTGGCTAACAAATATAATTTTGAGCCTCCCAGACTGAAGCCAAAAGTGAAATACACTCACAGTACCTATATGATAAAAAAGAATTAATTCTGAGGAAAAGCATAGCTTGAGATAATGGAGAAATGTGTTGGTTTTTGGTGGATTTCTTAAAAAGGGAACAATGATGTAGTCCAGGTAAGCTGGTTTCTAAAGGTCTGACTGAATTCAAGAATGTAGTTTAGGGCACTGAAAGATATATAAAGCTTAAAAGGAGATACAAACATAGGTAAATGACTAGGTTTTTGGAAAAAAATTGAGAGACAGATTTTAAATTTGTATACTCTGAAACTGAGTACAAATATTTAAGGCTATCAATTGAGAGACGAGCCATAATTTTCAACTTTCAACATATGGAAAGTTGGATATTGCTGTCATCCTCCTAGGAAAATGTGTTTACTGTGTGCAGGAAAACATGGCGGCCCCAACTTCATGTGGAGGTGTGATGCATAGGTATGTGCAGATAGGGTAAAGCTTTTCCTTTGAAAAAATTTCTGGTCTATTCCAGCACATAGATTAAATGATGTGCAGTGTTCCCCACCACAAAGCATAACCAAAGTAATTTTATGAAAAAAATTTTACTAGTCATTAACATTATGCCACTATTGCCTTAATAAAATCTCAATAAAACCCATATAGGATCTTATTTATGCACAACAGCTTCTTAGCAAATCCTTAAAAATCATTTAGTTGTAAAATATATTGTGAGGTAAATGAATGATTGGACCTGCTCTGTAAGAGTGTTACATATAAGTTAATTATGTAATGAAGAATATGGCCAAAAATGATGCTTTCGGAGTAGGACAGTTGAGCTCAAGCCAAAATTTTTGACAATTATTAAGTAGCAATCAATTATCTGTTGAGGTTATTCCTAGCAACAGTTTTTGATAATTATTGAATGACAATCAATTATCTATTGAGATTATTCCTAGTGACAATATAACATACTAAGTAGGGAAGAAGAAGAATCATCTTTCCATTTACAATAGCAGGAAGGTGTGCATCAAACCAATCTAGAAATAATTCAAGTAATTCACTAAGGTGCTGGATAATAAGAAGGGGGCCTAAATTATATTCCTATTTCACACTGCTCAAAATTACCATCTTCTCTGAAACATTTTCATCAGTCCTTATCTCCTCTCTGACATATTAAATACTCAGTTCTCTAAATACATCAGTAACCTGGAATCTATATTAAGCTTCTGTAACTTATCCCAACTGTTTCCAGAATAGGGGAAAAACAAACATCTATGTCCTTGTTCAACATCTCTTTCTACCTCACTTCTCACCAAAAGGGGTGCACATGAAACTGACCTGTCAGATTCCAAAACTCATACTGAGCCATACTACAACCAAGAGGTTACAGTACATTAAAAGATGGAGCACATAATAACGGCTCTGTCGCATTCTTCCTGTCTGGTATCTAAACTGCAGAGGAGATAAAAGTTCCAGGAACTAATCCCCAGAATATGTCTATTTATTTCTCCCACTTGTCTCTGCTTCATCCTTTGCAGCCAGAATGTCTTTTTTCTTATGGGAAATTCAGCATTCTTTTTCATATGTCCTGTACCACTCTCTCCCACTCTGACTCTTACTCTTCCATGTTGTCTTAGAATTTTGTCTGATAGAGCTACAGACTTCCCTCCAATAGCCTTTGGGTTGGCCTTGTCTTCCAAGCCAAGTGAACTAGGTTACAATGAGAAGCTCCCATTTGACATTGACATTGTTCCTTGTATCTTTTACTAGTCCATTCCAACACTACTCTAAAGAACTATCTAAGACTGGGTAATTTATGAAGAAAAGAGGTTTAATTGACTCACAGTTCTGCAGGCTGTACAGGAAGCAGGGCTGGAAGGCCTCAGGAAACTTAAAATCATGGCAGAAGGTGAAGGAGAAGCAAGCATATCTTACCATGACAGAGAAGGAGAGAGAGTAAAGGGGGAAATGCTACACACTTTCAAACAACCAGATCTTGTGAGAACTCACTCACTATCATTAGAACAGCAAGGGCAGAATCTGTCCCCATGATCCAGTCACCTCCCACCAGGCCCTACCTCCAATACGTGGGATCACAATTCAACATGAGATTTGGGTGGGGACACAGAGCCAAACCATATTATACATAGAGAAACACCTTCCTTGGGAATCTTTTTGTGAATGAGGAGAGATAATGGAGGTCTAGAAGGCCAGAATTCTTGGATCCACTAGCCATATATCATTAATAATTAAGATAAAATATTTGGCATAATTTCAGCAAGTGTTAGGACAAGAAATGGTTTTGCTACACGCTGCAGAACAGACCACAACATGTCATTGTGCCAATCCACTGACACTGAGAACGGAGAGCTTAGCCAGTAAAATATCCTGACCATATAATAAAATAGAAAGAAAATATAAATAAAAACTATAAATATTTTTAGCTTGTTCTCAACAAAATTTACTGCAAATGACTCTAATACTAGCAAGCTGACATAACTAATGCCTATTCTTCATGAAGAATATTAGCCTTGAGAAACAGGCTTATGATTTGTCAAGGACAAAGTTGGCTTAGTCATTGGAAGAAATGCTTAACCAACCGGAGATTTATAAATTGAGGAGATAAAGTAGCGTCTTTTAGGCAAAAATAGCTCTATTTTGAAGTATTTAATTAAAGACAGGGAACTTGTCTTATTAAAGTAAAACATGGTATTAGCACAGAGAATGATAAATATCCTATGGAAACTAAATAGAAAACCCATAACCAGACTTGTATATGTGTGTGTATTTATCATACTACCTAGATGTTGTGTGTGTGTGTGTGTGTGTGTGTGTATATATATCCACATATATATGATTATATATCTATATACACACATATATAATGCTACATATATTTAAAACTTAAAAAAACTAGAAACAACACAAAAGCCCATCAACAAGTGAATATAAATCAGAAACTAGCTATACAATGGTATACTACTCACATGCTACTCGCAATAAAAAGTAAACAGCAACTGATACTTGCAATCACATGAATGAATCTGAAAATCAATATGCTAAATAAAAGAGCCCAGGTAAGAGTACCTACTGCATGATACCCTTTATATAAACTTCTAAAACTTACACATTGATCTGTAGTGACAGAAAGAAGTTCAGTGGTTGCTTGAAAAGTATGGGATGGGCTGCAAATGGGCATTAGGAAACTTTTGGGGTTAAATATTCACTGTCTTGATTGTGGTGATGGTTTCTCAGGTGAATGCATAAGTCAAAACCAATCAGTTTGTACATTTTCATATCTGGGTTTATCTACTTCAATTATACCTCAATACTTTTTGAAATGGGGCAGGTCCACTTCAAAGGGAAGAGGTCAAAATATAACAAAACAGATAGTAACTCTTTCTAGTTTATTGGCAAGATGGTACAGGTTACATAGAACAAGTAGAGATTATTAGCCTTAAGTAGGATAAACTACTCTTCTAAAATATCAGACAAAAAGAAGAACAGAATGAGTGTATATACAGGTAAGTTAGTATGTTTGTTAGTGAAAATAAAAAGGCATTCTCATCTGATCACTTCTATTTGCTCTGAAGTTGATGGTAAGATTACATGCTCCAAGTGAGGAGAGAGAAGTTTAAAAAACAATTGAGAAGGTATTTCAGTTACTATTATTAATCCTGTATAACAAATCAAACTTGGTAGCATAAAATAATAACCATTTTACTATTATTTAAAATTCTATGTGTCAGAATACGAATATGGCACACCAGGGATGGCTTATTTCTACTCCACAATGTCTATGACCTCAGCTGAGAAGATGTGAAGGCTGGTAGTAGGTTAGGGCCTGAAATCATCTGAAAGTTCACTCTCTCACATATCTGGAGAGTGGTACTGGCTATTGTTTAGGATCTCAGCTGAGGCAATTGAATGAAATATCTTAGTTTGGGCTGCTATCGCAAAATACTATAGACTAGATGGCTTAACAGAAATTTATTTCTTACAATTCTGGAGGCTGGAAAGTCTAAGATTAAGCTGCTGGCAGATCCGCTGTCTGATGAGGGACCAATTCCTGGTTTACAGATAGCCAGCTTCTATTTGTATCCTCAAATAGTGGAGGGCAGACAGAGATGGAATGTGCAGAAGCTCCTATGTCTCTTAAAAGGGCACTGATCTCATTCATCAGGGTTCCACCTTCATGATCTAATCACCTCCAAAAGGCCCTACCCCCCTAATACCATCATATTACGGGTTGGGATTTCAACATATGAATTTGGAGGAAATGCAAACATTCAGCCCATAGCAAACATCTACATGTGTCTGGAGGCTTTCCAGGAGGCTGCTTGGGCTTTGTTATAGCATGGTACATGGGTTGTAGAAGAAAGCCTCCCAAGAGAACCAGGTGAAAACCGTACCACCTTTTATGACTTCCTTGAATGCCACTTCTTAAGTAACAAGGTAACATAGACCTCAGCACTCTAATAAAAGAAACAGCAAACTCACATTGTTTTACCAGTTAGTAGGATATTGTTCTATGTGTTTTTTGAAAAACACAATTGGCCAGAGTTTGCAAAGGCCACTCTAAATGAGAGAGTAAGTTGATCAGAGACATACCGCGAAGGCAGCATGTAACACTCGCCTGAGGTTGGTGATATCTACTACACAGTAGAAACATTTGCTCTACTGTGTAACTTTGTCCAGCTGTTCTTGGTTGTTATGGAGTAAATACCAAAGAAACAAATACTTGGGCTCATTAGGAATGAGGCTTTGCCAGATGCAAAAGACAGAGGGGAAAGAGAATTTGGAGTATTAGCAAGACTGTTGTGTTTGAATCATAGAATTAAGTTTGATAAGCAGCACTTTGGGAGGCCGAGGAGGGTGGTTCATGAGGTCAGGACATTGAGACCATCCTAACTAACACGGTGAAACCCCATTTCTACTAAAAATAATAATAAAAAAAAGAATTGTTTCATAAGAAGAAATGTTTTTAAAATGAGGATTTATAGATGGTAAGACATATAGGCAGCTTATTCTTATCAACTAGCAAAGTCAGTAAGAAAAAAACATTGGCAAAAATAAGAATGAGTACAGTTGACCCTTGAAAAATGTGGGGTTAGGGACGCCAACCCCCACACAGTTAAAAACCCATGTATAACTTTTGGCTTCTCCAAAACTTAACTACTAATCGCCTACTGTTGACTAGAAGGCGTACCAATGCCATAAACAGTAAAATAATACATATTTTGTATGTTACATGTATTATATTATTATACTAAAGTAAGCTAGAGAAAAGTAAATGTTATTAAGAAAATCATAACTTTTCCAAAAAAACTTAACCAAATTGCAAACCCGGAATTGCAACACACAGGACAATTAAGACCAATAAGGCCATGGATAAGAACCAAATCTAAACAGGCAGTATGGTTTTAATATCTTACAGAGAGAAGTAGAAGTCACAATCAACCTAATCAATAAACTAAGTAAAGAACTTTTAGTCACTTGGATGTTATGCCTTGTTACAATTTCACACCCCATATTAAGTAATAAACCAATTTATTGTTTCACAACTGTTTTTGCAAAGTGGCCGTAAGATCATAAATAAATTTTAATCTGAAAAAACGAAAATCATAAGGAAGAGAAAATATGTTTACTATTCATCAAGTGGAAATGCATCATCACAAAGGCTTCATCCTCGTCTTCGTGTTAAGTAGGCTGAAGAGGTAGAGGAAGAGGAGGGATCTGTCTTTCAGTCTCTGGGGTGACAGAGGCAGAGGAGGTGGAGGAAGTGAAAGGGGAAGCAAGAGGCACAGGCACACTTGGCATAACTTTTATTGAAAAAACTCCACATGTAAGTAGACCTCACAGTTCAAACCCATTTTGTTCAGGGATTGACTATTTATAACAGTGGTTAAGAACACAGAGCCTGAAGCCAGACTACTTGGATTTGTATCCGACCTTTAACACTTGCTTGCTGTGTGGCTTTAGGCAAGTTACTGTTACTTAAACTTTCTGTGCCTTACTCGTCTCATCTGTAAAACAATAGTGCCTTCCTTATAGGATCATTAGGAACGTTAAGTTAATTATTACGTGCAAAAAACTTAAAACAGTACTTGGCATATAAGCACTCAATAAGTGCTAACTACGATTAGTAATAGAAACGGTCCAAATAAATCTTAGTATAAAAAGCCTTCATCAGATGATTTATTTAATTACAATTATGAATTAGCTATACTGCTTAATAAAAAAGGGAGCTAAGTTGTTCTACAACTTATAGGATCGTCACATTACTAAATTTAAATATGTACATCCAAAATGCGCATTTGCAATCTCAGGTACTCAATTCCAGTCATAGAATTCCAATTTTAATGGACACATTCTGGCCCTTCCTTAGGATGTGTTGTATTTGATTTTTCTTGGAGACAATTATATTATTGTTGGATAACTTGAATTTGGTAAATTTCCAAGGTGGCTACTTTCTAACTCCATTCCACTCACATGTCACCTCAACAGGCTGTCCAAAATTAGTTTCCAATATTCTTGATTATTGAAATTACCAACTGCATGAAAAAAATATAGTAAATTTAGTTTAAATTTTTTATGGGAATGACTACAGCACTTCACTTTAATTTTAAAATGGAAAGCTAAATCAAAACTGGTTATGGCTAAAGTAAAAATAAACCTAGGTCAGTTAAAGGATATATTAATATTTCTCTTAACACTCCCTGGTACAAGTACTTCTTACCTTAATATTTGTCCTCATCCTAATGCACATTAAAAATAGATTTCCTGACTAATGGTAATTCTTGTACTATGGATTTGTTCTAAATATATCTTACTTGCAAGTTGGATTTCTTATACTACATTTCACCAGAGAGTAATACTTTTGTAATACTTTTTGAATACTTTTGTAATCCTTCTTGTAAGACATAGCACAATTCATTGGAAATTACCAATTCACTCATATTGACAATCAGGTTCATTCCATGAGTTTCAAAAGAAGACACCCACCCCCATTAAATAATGAAAACATCTTCTGGTCTCAATATTCTACACCCATGACTAATATAAAGCATACTTAAAAAAAAGGCAGAAAATATTTCCTAATTTCTCATCAATATCTCAGCAGCAGAATGTCTTCTAACCATTTCATTAATAACAGCCATAGCAACCATTTACTGGCTACTTATGTATGTTAAGTATTTTGTAAAGCACTTCATATGCCTCTTCACATTTGACCTTCATATGGGTTGTCTCAAAGCCATGCTAAACTGTGTGTATAATAAGACACACATCCTTCCTCCCCATATTACCAGGAGATGCACATCAGGAACACCAGAGAGGGCAAGAAGAAACAGACTACCTAATGCCCTGCATAAAGGGGCAACAACAGTGAAAGCAGTAGACATCAGAGTCCATACAAAATGGACTTGAGGGTAATATAAAAGAATTAAAGACAAAAACCACATGATGATCTCAATAGATGCAGAAAAGGCTTTTGATAAAATTCAATATCCATTCACATTAAAAATTCTCAATAAACTAGGTATTAAAGGAATATACCTCAAATTAATAACAGCCATATATAACTAACCCACAGCCAATATCATACTGAATAGACAAAAGCTGGAATCATTCTCCCAGTGAAAATTGCCACAAGGATGCCCTTTCTCACCACTCCTATTCAACATAGTATTGGAAGTTCCGGCCAGGGCAATCAGGCAAGAGAAATAAATAAAGGGCATTCAAACTGGAAGACAGGAAGTCAAACTATCCCTGTTTGCAGACGACATGATCCTACATCTAGAAAACCCCATTATCTCAGCCCAAAAGATTCCTAAACAAACAGCTTAAGAAACAACTTCAGGGGTGGAGCCAAGATGGCCAAATAGGAACAGCTCCAGTCTACAGCTCCCAGCCTGAGCGACGCAGAAGACGGGTGATTTCTGCATTTCCAAATGAGGTACCCGGTTCATCTCACTGGGGATTGCCAGACAGTGGGTGCAGAACAGTGGGTGCAGTGCACCGTGCATGAGCCGAAGCAGGGAGAGGCATCGCCTCACCCGGGAAGTGCAAGGGGGCAGGGAAGTCCCTTTCCTAGTCAAGGAAAGGGGTGACAGACGGCACCTGGAAAATCAGGTCGCTCCCACCCTAATACTGCGCTTTTCCAACCGACTTAACAAACGGCACACCAGGAGATTATATCCCACACCTGGCTCGGAGGGTCCTGTGCCCAAAGAGCCTCACTCATTGCTAGCACAGCAGACTGAGATCAAACTGCAAGGTGGCAGCGAGGCTGGGGGAGGGGTGCCTGCCATTGCTGAGGCTTCAGCAGGTAAACAAAGTGACCAGGAAGCTCAAACTGGGTGGAGCCCACCACAGCTCAAGGAGGCCTGCCTGCTTCTGTAGGGTCCAACTCTGGCGGCAGGGCACAGACAAACAAAAGGCAGCAATATCCTCTGCAGATTTAAATGTCCCTGTCTGACAGTTTTGAAGAGAGTAGTGGTTCTCCCAGCACACAGCCTGAGATCTGAGAAAGGGCAGACTGCCTCCTCAAGTGGGTCCCTGACCCCTGAGTAGCCTAACTGGGAGGCACCCCCCAGTAGGGGCGGACTGACACCTCAAACGGCCGGGTACTCCTCTGAGACAAAACTTCCAAAGCAACAATCTGGCAGCAGCATTTGCGGTTCACCGATATCCGCTGTTCTGCAGCCACCACTGCTGATACCCATGCAAACAGGGTCTGGAGTGGACCTCCAGCAAACTCCAACAGACCTGCAGCTGAGGGTCCTGACTGTCAGAAGGAAAACTAACAAACAGAAAGGACATCCACACCAAAAACCCGTCTGTACATCACCATCATCAAAGACCAAAGGTAGATAAAACCACAAAGATGGGGAAACAACAGAGCAGAAAAACCGGAAACTCTAAAAATCAGAGCACCCCTCCTCCTCCAAAGGAATGCAGCTCCTCACCAGCAATGGAACAAAGCTGGACAGAGAATGACTTTCATGAGCTGAGAGAAGAAGGCTTCAGAAGATCAAACTACTCCAAGCTAAAGGAGGAAGCTTGAACCAATGGCAACGAAGTTAAAAACCTTGAACAAAAACTAGACGAATGGCTAACTAGAATAACCAATGCAGAGAAGTCCTTAAAGGACCTGATGGAGCTGAAAACCATGGCATGAGAACCACGTGACGAATGCACAAGCCTCAGTAGCTGATGTGATCAACTGGAAGAAAGGGTATAGGCGATGGAAGACAAAACGAATGAAATGAAGCGAGAAAAGAAGTTTAGAGAAAAAAGAATATGGAGAAATTAACAAAGCCTCCAAGAAATATGGGACTATGTGAAAAGACCAAATCTACGTCTGATTGGTGTACCTGAACGTGATGGGGAGAATGCAATCAAGTTGGAAAACACTCTGCAGGATATTATCCAGAAAAACTTCCCCAATCTAGCAAGGCAGGCCAACATTCAAATTCAGGAAATACAGAGAACGCCACAAAGATACTCCTCGAGAAGAGCAACTCCAAGACACATAATTGTCAGATTCACCAAAGTTGAAATGAAGGAAAAAATGTTAAGGACAGCCAGAGAGAAAGGTTGGGTTACCCACAAAGGGAAGCCCATCAGACTAACAGCTGATCTCTTGGCAGAAACTCTACAAGCCAGGAGAGAGTGGGGGCCAATATTCAACATTCTTAAAGAAAAGAATTTTCAACCCAGAATTTCATATCCAGCCAAACTAAGCTTCATAAGTGAAGCAGAAATAAAATACTTACAGACAAACAAATGCTGAGATTTTGTCACCACCAGGCCTGCCCTAAAAGAGCTCCTGAAGGAAGCGCTAAACATGGAAAGGAAAAACCAGTACCAGCCACTGCAAAAACATGCCTAATTGTGAAAACCATCAAGGCTAGGAAGAAACTGCATCAACTAACGAGCAAAATAAACAGCTAACATCATAATGACAGGATCAAATTCACACATAACAATACAAACCTTAAATGTAAATGGACTAAATGCTCCAATTAAAAGACACAGACTGGCAAATTGGATAAAGAGTCAAGACCCATCAGTGTGCTGTATTCAGGAAACCCATCTCACGTGCAGAGACACACATAGGCTCAAAATAAAGGGATGGAGGAAGATCCACCAAGCAAATGGAAAACAAAAAAAGGCAGGGGTTGCAATCCTAGTCTCTGATAAAACAGACTTTAAACCAACAAAGATCAAAAGAGACAAAGAAGGCCATTACATAATGGTAAAGGGATCAATTCAGCAAGAAGAACTAACTATCCTAAATATATATGCACCCAATACAGGAGCACCCAGATTCATAAAGCAAGTCCTTAGTGACCTACAAAGAGACTTAGACTCCCACACAATAATAATGGGAGACTTTAACACCCCACTGTCAACATTAGACAGATCAACGAGACAGAAAGTTAAAAAGGATATCCAGGAATTGAACTCAGCTCTGCACCAAGTGGACCTAATAGACATCTACAGAACTCTCCACCCCAAATCAACAGAATATACATTCTTTTCAGCACCAGACCACACCTATTCCAAAATTGACCACATAATTGGAAGTAAAGCACTCCTCAGCAAATGTAAAAGAATAGAAATTATAACAAACTGTCTCTCAGACCACAGTGCAATCAAACTAGAACTCAGGAATAAGAAACTCACTCAAAGCCGCTCAACTACATGGAAACTGAACAACCTGCTCCTGAACGACTATGGCGTACATAATGAAATGAAGGCAGAAATAAAGATGTTCTTTGAAACCAATGAGAACAAAGACACAACATACCAGAATCTCTGGGACACATTCTAAGCAGTATGTAGAGGGAAATTTATAGCACTAAATGCCCACGAGAGAAAGCAGGAAAGACCTAAAATTGACACCCTAACATCACAATTAAAAGAACTAGAGAAGCAAGAGCAAACACATT
This sequence comes from Homo sapiens, assembly GCF_000001405.40. NCBI lineage: Eukaryota > Metazoa > Chordata > Mammalia > Primates > Hominidae > Homo > Homo sapiens. Next base: position 114,160,051 of record NC_000005.10, on the reverse strand, counting down.
CAAAAGCTAGCAGAAGGCAAGAAATAACTAACATCAGAGCAGAACTGAAGGAAACAGAGACACAAAAAACCCCTCAAAAAATCAATGAATCCAGGAGCTGGTTTTTTGAAACGATCAACAAAATTGATAGACCACTAGCAAGACTAATAAAGAAGAAAAGAGAGAAGAATCAAATAGACGCAATAAAAAATGACAAAGGGGATGTCACCACCGATCTCACAGAAATACAAACTACCATCAGAGAATACTATAAACACCTCTACGCAAATAAACTAGAAAATCTAGAAGAAATGGATAAATTCCTCGACACATACACCCTCCCAAGACTAAACCAGGAAGAAGTTGAATCTCTGAATAGACCAATAACAGGCTCTGAAATTAAGGCAATAATTAAAAGCTTACCAACCAAAAAAAGTCCAGGACCAGATGGACTCACAGCTGAATTCTACCAGAGGTACAAGGAGGAACTGGTACCATTCCTTCAGAAACTATCCCAATCAATAGAAAAAGAGGGAATCCTTCCTAACTCATTTTATGAGGCCAGCATCATCCTGATACCAAAGCCTGGCACAGACACAATCAAAAAAAAGAATTTTAAACCAATATCCTTGATGAACATTGACGCAAAAATCCTCAATAAAATACTGCCAAACCGAATCCAGCAACACATCCAAAAGCTTATCCACCATGATCAAGTGGGCTTCATCCCTGGGATGCAAGGCTGGTTCAATATATGAAAATCAATAAATGTAATCCAGCATATAAACAGAACCAAAGGTAAAAACCACATGATTATCTCAATAGATGCAGAAAAGGCCTTTGACAAAATTCAACAACCCTTCATGCTAAAAACTCTCAATAAATTAGGTATTGATGGGACGTATCTCAAAATAATAAGCGCTATCTATGACAAAACCACAGCCAATATCATACTGAATGGACAAAAACCGAAAGCATTCCCTTTGAAAACTGGCACAAGACAGGATGCCCTCTCTCACCACTCCTTTCCAACATAGTGTTGGAGGTTCTGGCCAGGGCAATCAGGCAGGAGAAAGAAATAAAGGGTATTCAATTAGGAAAAGAGGAAGTCAAATTGTCCCTGTTTGCAGATGACATGATTGTATATCTAGAAAACCCCATCATCTCAGCCCAAAATCTCCTTAAACTGATAAGCAACTTCAGCAAAGTCTCAGGATATAAAACCAATGTGCAAAAATCACAAGCATTCTTATACACCAATAACAGACAAACAGAGAGCCAAATCATGAGTGAACTCCCATTCACAATTGCTTCAAAGAGAATAAAATACCTAGGAATCCAACTTACAAGGGATGTGAAGGACCTCTTCAAGGAGAAATACAAACCACTGCTCAATGAAATAAAAGAGGATACAAACAAATGGAAGAACATTCCATGCTCATGGGTAGGAAGAATCAATATCATGAAAATGGCCATACTGCCCAAGGTAATTTATAGATTCAATGCCATCCCCATCAAGCTACCAATGACTTTCTTCACAGAATTGGAAAAAACTACTTTAAACTTCATATGGAACCAAAAAAGAGCCTGCATTGCCAAGTCAATCCTAAGCCAAAAGAACAAACCTGGAAGCATCATGCTACCTGACTTCAAACTATACTACAAGGCTACAGTAACCAAAAGAGCATGGTACTGGTACCAAAACAGAGATATAGACCAATGGAACAGAACAGAGCCCTCAGAAATAATGCCGCATAACTACAACTATCTGATCTTTGACAAACCTGGCAAAAACAAGCAATGGGGAAGGATTCCCTACTTAACAAATGCTGCTGGGAAAACTGGCTAGTCATATGTAGAAAGCTGAAACTGGATCCCTTCCTTACACCTTATACAAAAATTAATTCAAGATGGATTAAAGACTTACATGTTAGACCTAAAACCATAAAAACCCTAGAAGAAAACCTAGGCAATACCATTCAGGCCATAGGCATGGGCAAGGACTTCATGTCTAAAACACGAAAAGCAAAGGCAACGAAAGCCAAAATTGACAAATGGGATCTAATTAAACTAAAGAGCTTCTGCACAGCAAAAGAAACTACCATCAGAGTGAACACGCAACCTACAGAATGGGAGAAAATTTTTGCAATCTACTCATCTGACAAAGGGCTAATATCCAGAATCTACAATGAACTCAAACAAATTTACAAGAAAAAAAAAAACCCCATCAAAAAGTGGGCAAAGGAAATGAACAGACACTTCTCAAAAGAAGACATTTATGCAGCCAAAAAACACATGAAAAAATGCTCATCATCACTGGCCATCAGACAAATGCAAATCAAAACCATAATGAGATACCATCTCACACCAGTCAGAATGGTGATCACTAAAAAGTCAGGAAACAACAGGTGCTGGAGAGGATGTGGAGAAACAGGAACGCTTTTATACTGTTAGTAGGACTGTAAACTAGTTCAACCATTGTGGAAGTCAGTGTGGCAATTCCTCAGGGATCTAGAACTCGAAATACCATTTGACCCAGCCATCCCATTACTGGGTATATACCCAAAGGATTATAAATCATGCTGCTATAAAGACACATGCACATGTATGTTTATTGCGGCACTATTCACAATAGCAAAGACTTGGAACCAACCCAAATGTCCAACAATGATAGACTGGATTAAGAAAATGTGGCACATATACACCAGGGAATACTAGGCAGCCATAAAAAATGATGAGTTCATGTCCTTTGTAGGGACATGGATGAAGCTGGAAACCATCATTCTGAGCAAACTATGGCAAGGACAAAGGGCCAAACACCGCATGTTCTCACTCATAGGTGGGAAATGAACAATGAGAACATAAGGACACAGGAAGGGAAACATCACACACCAGGGACTGCTGTAGGGTAGGGGGAGGGGGGAGGGATAGCATTAGGAGATATACCTAATGCTAAATGACAAGTCAATGGGTGCAGCACACAAACATGGCACATGTATACATATGTAACAAACCTGCACATTGTGCACATGTACCCTAAAACTTAAAGTATAATAATAATAAAATTTAAAAAAAAAAGAAATCCCAAAGTGCATTTCCAGTAAAATCCTTAGAGGTATACTACATAACTAAACAACCTGGAAAAAATACTTGCTTGAGTATTTTGAACATCAGTAGACTATAAGCTATGTCTACTGGCAAAGTCTTACCTTTAGAAAAGGAACTAACATGGACTGCATCATTGATAATTCCTTTGTTAATTTCAAATCATCTTACAACATATTAATAAAAGGCATGAATTTAGGAAAAAAAAGAGAAACAACTTTAACAAAGTCTTAGGATACAAAATCAATGTGCACAAATCACCAGCATTCCTATACACCAATAGTCAAGCCAAGAGCCAAATCATGAAAGAATTCCTTCCATGACTGCCACAAAAAGAATAAAATATCTAGAAATACAGCTAACTAGGGTGGTGAAAGAGCTCTACAAGGAGAACTACAAACCACTGCTCCAAGAAATCAGGAATGACACCAACAAATGGAAAAACCTTCCATCCTCATGGATAGGAAGAATAAATATCATTAAAATGGTCACATTTCCCAAAGCAGTTTATAGATTCAGTGCTACTCCCATTAAACTACCATTGACATTCTTCACAGAACTAGGAAAAACTATTTTAAAATTCATAGGGAACCAAAAAAGAGCCCATATAGTCAAGGCAAGGCCAAGTAAAAAGAACAAAGCTAGAGGCATCATGCTACCTGACTTTAAACTATACTACAGGGCTACAGTAACCAAAACAGCATGGTACTGGTACAAGAACAGACACATAGATTAATGGAACAGAATAGAGAACCTAGAAATAAGACCATATACCTACAACTATCTGATCTTTGACAAACCTGACAAAAACAAACAATGGCAAAAGATTCCCTATTCAATAAATGGTGCTAGGATAACTGGCTAGCCATATGCAGAAGATGGAAACATTAGACCCCTTCCTTACATCATATACAAAAATTAAGTCAAGATAGATTAAAGACTTAAATGTAAAACCCAAAACTATAAAAATGCTGGAAGACAACCTAGGTAATACTATTAGGGACACAAGCATGGGCAAAGATTTAATGATGAAGACAGCTAAAGCAATCACAACAAAAGCAAAAATTGACAAACAGGATCTAATTAAGCCAAAGAGCTTCTGTACAGCAAAAGAAACTACCAACAGAGTGAACAGACAACCTACAGGATGCGAGAAAATTTTTGCAAACTATGCATCTGACAAAGGTCTAATATCCAGCATCTCAAAGGAACTTAAACAAATTTACAAGAACAAATAACCCCATTAAAAAGTGGGCAAAGGACATGAACCGACGTTTTTGAAAAGAAGATATACATGTGGCCAACAATCATAATAAAAGCTCAACATTGGTGCTCATTAGAGAAATTCAAATCAAAACCACAATGAGATACTGTCTCACACCAGTCAGAATGACTACTATTAAAAAATCAAAAAATAACAGATGCTGGTGAGGTTGTGGAGAAAAGGGAATGTTTATACACTGTTGAAGGGAGTGTAAATTAGTTCAGCCATTATGGAAGACAGTGTGGCAATTCCTCAAAGACCTAAAAATAGAAATAACATTTGACCCGCAATCTCATTACCGGGTATACACCCAAAGAAATATAAATTGTTCCATCATAAAGACAGATGCACATGTATGTTCACTGCAGCACTGTTCACAATACCAATGACACAGAATCAACCTAAATGCCCATCAATCACAGACTGGATAAAGAAAATGTGGTACATATACACCATAGAATACTATGCAACCATAAAAAATAAAGAGATCATGTCCTTTGCAGGGACATGGATGGGGCTGGAGGTCATTATCTTTAGCGAAATAACACAGGAACAGAAAACCAAATACCACATGTTCTCACTTAGTAGTAGTAGCTAAATGATGAGAACACACGGACACCTAGATGGGAACAACACAGACTGGGGCCTATTTGAGGGTGGAGAGTGTGAGGAGGGAGCAGATCAGGAAAAACAACTAATAGATACTAGTCTTAATACCTGGGTGATGAAATAATCTATACAACAAACCCCCATGATGAAAGTTTGCCTATGTAACAAACGTGTACATCTACCCACTAACTTAAAATAAAAGTTAAAAAAAAGAATGTTCCCTAGAGCAAAATATTTCTATTGCTACAAGTAGGAAAAGTAAGAATATAGCCATTGTCTGATCAACCCTAGTAATGATTCTAAAGAAATTCTATGACAATCAGAAGGAGGGGTGGTCTAGAGATACCATGTTTAAATGAGGGCCAGAGAGTAGAGATGGTTGACCAGCTCAAAGGAACCTGGCTTCAGAAACATCTTGTTTAACAACCCAAACTAGAAAGTTTTGGTGACCCAGAGACATGCCTACAAGTAGACTATACTGATTTATATAGTCCATCTGGATGACAGTATTATTTCTCACTGAAAATAAGTAAAAGGGTATTTACAGCATTTCTGGAAACAGAGGTACTTGCAGTATGCTACCAAAATCAAATTTCTGAGCCTGTAGAGTAGGTAATAAAATCAATCCAGAGGTCTCTGGTTTCCATCCTGCTGATGTTCCTCTAGTGCCACCCACATTTCACTGCACAATTTCCATCTCACACAGAGCCCTAGAGCAGCTTCAATAATAAAATTATCAAAAGAGAGGCTATACTACAAAATCCAAAAGCAAAATTTTTGTGCTCACTAAAAGCTCCTTTATGGGCTCATGTTTCTCTGCACATGCCATAACACTGGTATTTCTCAGGGTTTTCCCTTTGCTCTCTTTTTATTCTCACTGTTCAGTCTCTTGTTTTCATCTCATCCACTCCCATAACTCAGTGACCTTGGTATCATTCAAGATCCCAGCAGGAAACAGGTGGCACCCTCAGACTGGAGTAAAACATGAAGGGTTTATTATAATGAAGCTATTTATAAAGAAGCAGACATGATACAAGGGGATGGCATGTGATACTGCAAGAACCTGGGGCCAGAACACAGGAGGAGCTGTCACCATCTCTAGACCCACTGGACTAGGAGAGAGTAATGCCTGCAACTTAGGAGAGGGTTGTCTAGAAAATCACCTTGAGAGAAACAGTGACCTTCAATTGAGGAAAACAAGACCAACTAAACCTCCAAGGGAGGGAAATAAATACATTTGACCACAGTCTCCTCACTCCCGTGGATCTCTTCCTGGAGATCGTTTGGAGAAGTTCTCCATGAGTGTTTTGTCTTTCTGCATGTCTTGAGAGCCAAGGCGATGCTGCCTTTTTTCCATCTTTTCAGGGATATTTGTATGGCAAATAATCTGGGAAGATGATAGCATTTCCTTCCAGAGATAAGGATGGCTGCTTACTATCCACCGTAAGATTCATGTTTGCTAAGCTCAAGCTTCTCCTGTCTGCACCAGGTGTTACCTGACCTTTCTCACAGTGCCTTGTGGACATTAGGGTTTGGGAAACAGACACAAGAAACACATAAACCCTAGCTACTGCTATTGCTGTAAGTGATACAGTTTTTTTTTGTCTCTGACCAGGGAGGTATCTGTGATACTGTGGCAAACTAACTCATATGCTTATAAGTAGGGTAAACTCTAAGGCCCTTCACAGTTCTTGACAGGGGTCCCTATTGGCAGAACATAACCTGAAGTCAGAGGGCAGGAAAATATGTTGATTATTCCATGGAGGTCAGCCTACTGGAGTGAGAACAAAGTGGAGGTGGGCGAGAAGTGCATCTGAAGGGGCAAGTGCAATATATTTGTCAGATCATCTAAATGCTACACCCTCACTGTCAAAACAGTACTTCCAGACCTGACAACATGAATATATTCTGAACTTCTGACTCATATATCTAATTGCCCACTGGCTTTCACATGGATGTCTCAAAGCCCCAACGTTTTCAGTTTCACGGAATGATACCACATTCTGTCCAGCTGCCAACACGTGTTTTAGTCTTGTCTCACTGCTCACTCCCCAAATCTTATCTCGTCAATATGAAGACATTACTGATCTGTTTATTTCTCTTCATCACTATTATCACCAGCCTTGTTCAAGCCAACACCATCTCCCTTTCAGATTACTCCATCAAGGCTTCTCATGCTTTTTGCCTCATCCTATTTCCCTTTCAGCGCTCTCTGTACTTTAGCCACCTTGGTCTTATGGTTCCTCATGTTAGCCATGCTCCCGCCCACCATATGCCTTTTTACATGCTGGCATCTCTTCCAGACACGTGTTTTCCTCTCCTCTCCCTATGAGTAACTCCTACTCATCCTTTAGATCTCTGATCAAATTTCCTCCTTAGAGATAGCTACCCTGACCATTCCAGTGTGGTCATGTCTTTGTTTCCCCACCAGACTGTGTTCTCTATCAGGGTAGAAACTATTTTTGCTCACCATGATAATCCCAGCTTGGAAAACAATGCCTGTTATAGAATAAGCTCCCATAAAAATGTATTGGAAGAATGAGTACAATAAAACATAGGGCTAAGTCACAGTCAAATAAAACACCCTTCAAATATTGAAGAGCACACCTATTGTACAGTCTTCCTAGTCTAATAAAAAATTATATTTGCAAATAACTTGACTAAACATAACATTGGATTAGAGAATCTTTTTTGAGTTTATTTGGTGATTTTCAACAAGACAGGAAAATATCCAAACAAGTATTTTCAAGAATAGTATGACGTTAGATAAAATACATTTTAAGTGTTTATTGTGCTAAAATGAAGATTTGCTATCCAAATATTTTCATGATATTATCAATATTTTTCTGAATCCCAAAACATGACTTTTTAAAGGGTGGGTGGGGCACCATTTCCCCTATAGCAATTTGAATCTAAATTAATGTAGCAAAAAAAAATGGTAATTGGAACTATAATGAGACATTTTTATTGCTATGCCAAAGCACTTATTCTCATCCATAACATCTGAGCTTCAAATTCCTAGTTTTAACATCGTATTTTTAATATTTAAGAAGAAATATATAAACTGAAAAATAGGTATTAGCTCCACATGAATAAAAACACAATATAATATATCTGGCACTGCCTTATTGCTCTAAGAACAGGAACAGTTTAATTTCCTCATTTTTATCTATAAAGGTACAGTGTTAACATTGCATGAACACAAGCATTCATATTTTCATTTCCTATTTCATTGAAAAATGTGATAAAGAGAAAGCACTTTCCCTATAGTACCATGGAGAGATTTTTTTTTTCTAGACAGTTCCACCAACTCCAAAGTCAAACATCAGGATAACTCCTTGGAAATACATCTCTCTACCTTACTTCAAACTGGAAGTCTGTGTCAGTAGCAGCTGAGGTGGTGACTCTAGAAAAGCTCTTTCACTAGTTCAGAAGTTTAAAAAAAATCACTAACCTTTTATTTGAAGGAAAGTGTGTCCACATACCATCACATGCTCAATGTGATTGATCAAAACAGGTCATTGAATTGACCAATTTTTTTTTTTTCTGGGACATCTCTCTCTCTTTCATGTGCTTTGTTGCAACTGAAATTGCCATGGAAAGAAAGAGCTGATAAGCAACCCTAACCCAAGCTGACTGTCCCAACTCTTCTCATTACAACCCCCTTTGCTGTCCCACCAAGTGGAAGGAAGGGAGCTGGAGTGGCAGGACGGTGGAATGAGAACACACTGGAGTAAAGAAGGGGCTGGGGGTACCTGAGCCCTGTCCCCAACCCACTGCCATTTAATCAAGTTTTAACTTATTAATAGTTTCAAAAATCAAAAATGAGTGAGAGGGTTAGCTCTAAGATCCCTTAAGCTCTGTGATTTCTATTACCAGAAAAAGAAAGCCAAAAGAATCATTTTTTTCTCAACTCTACCCAAATGTAACAGATCTGTTTTACACTAGAAAGTTTCTCAGTGATATTTGATTTTAAAGAAAAAAAAAATTCAAAAACAAAACAAATTAAAAAGTTGTGCCTGAAAGGAATCTTGCTTTATTTGTTTTTTTGTTGTTGTTTGTTTGTTTGTTTTGAGACACAGTTTCACTCTTGTTGCCCAGGCTGGAGTGCAATGGCGCCATCTCAGCTCACCGCAACCTCTGCCTCCCGGGTTCAAGCAATTCTCCTGCCTCATCCTCCTGAGTAGCTGGGATTACAGGCATGCACCACCATGCATGGCTAATTTTGCATTTTTAGTAGAGATGAGGTTTCTCCATGTTGGTCAGGCTGGTCTTGAACTCCCAACCCGAGGTGATCTGCCTGCTTCAGCCTTCCAAAGTTCTGGGATTCCAGGTGTAAGCCACTGTGCCCGGCCTTGCTTATTTGGTTTTTATAAGAAGCTGCCTAGTTTCTGAGTCCTGTAAGATACAGGTATTTGGCCCTTGGTGTAGTTTCCATTTGACTTCTTGTCACAGGAAAAGACGGGTCTGATTCCTGAGCCCTCATATTAAATTGGCCAGATATAGGACCCCTGGCCAGTGGACCAAAGGCTTTGTGTAAGATGACAAGGGTCAGCTCAGGGAATGTGGGGAGGTATCTTTGGTCTTTCATGCTGTCGACGTTTTGATTTTCTTTGGTTAAAGAGGCCACTTATCTTTGTAAACCAAACATTTTTACTTTCTCTACTTTTCTGTTATAGGCAAAAGAATGGAAGTGAAGAAAGTTTTACTGGTTTTTCAGGTTTGTCAAAGATCAGATGGTTGTAGATGTGTGGTATTATTTCTGAGGACTCTGTTCTGTTCCATTGGTCTATATCTCTGTTTTGGTACCAGTACCATGTTGTTTTGGTTACTGTAGCCTTGTAGTATAGTTTGAAGTCAGGTATGTAGGGAGACCCCCTGAAACTCTTGCTACTACGGAATACAAGACGAAATGTTCCTGATTATTGTAAATACAAAGTTGCACGCAGGACTATGTAAAGTCAATGCCAGGTTGGACTGCCAGAATGAGCCAACAGTACGTGATGTGCTTCCCCCTGCAGAGAGCCTATGAACGGACATGCAGTCAGGGAGGTTTCACATCACCAAGATTCCTATCCCAGAAAAGCAGATGTTCATAGCTCTGGGAATGGAATGCGACCCTTGTGGAGAGCCTATAAACGGACGCATGAGGGGCACCTGTTCATAGGGATAAGACAGGGCTATAAATGCCCTCATCTTGCCACAGCTCTTCTTGGCCTCTTTAGGGTTAAGGCATACTCCCTTCTGAGAATTTTTGGTCTAACCGGTTGTCTAGCTTCACGTCCTGTTTCTATGGATTGTTTGTAACCAGCTTTTGCTGCAACTATTACTACTGATTAATATCTTGCTAATCATAGGTTATGGAAAGACTGTGTTTCTGTTTTAAGGCTCTGTTAGAAATTACTGATGCACACACTATATTTTAAATTCTAATCTCTGTATACTGTACTTCTGCATACAGATGTTATGTTAAAGAATTACTTCATTCCCATGTGACCATCTCACCTCATAATCAAATGACCCTAAATCCCTCACTAACCTACCCCCGCCCTCACTAAACTTAATAATAAATGCTGGTATATCCAGTGCATTGGCGGCATCACGGGACCAGAAGGCAGTGACCCCCCTGGACCCAGCTTTCACTATCTTGTGTGTGTCTATTATTTCTCGACCTGTCGATCTGCCTAGGAATAAGGAAAGAGCCCCGCTGCACTGTGGGCTGCTGGCCAGATCCTGCAATATCTGGCACCCAATATGGCCTTCTTTGTTCCTCGGCTCAGTGCACTCTGAGTGTGGGTTCATGATGACTAGTCTTCGGTCTCGACGATAAGGTCTCCAGGTACACCTTTTCTGACTCTCCCCTCTTTTCAGGTTTGTCAACTGGTATTATTCCAGGGTTATTATGGGACAATCACATTCTAAACACCAGGCTTATCTGTCTTTTATTAAACGTCTTCTTAAACAGGGTGGAATCCAGGCTGATTCCTATAACCTTATTCTCTTATTTCAGACTATTGAAAAATATTGTCCTTGGTTCCCTGACAAAGGTTCTATGGACCTGTTAGACTGGGATAGAGTTGGCACCACCCTCTGCCAACTCATGAGAGATGGTGTTTTACTTCCTATTTCTGGTTGGGCTGACTGGGCTCTTATTCAGGTCACTTTACTTCCTTTTCAGTCTGGTGATCCTCTTCAACTGCCACAAGTTAACACGGATGGTGAGCCGCTCCCTGTACCTCGAGTAGCTGACCCCCTACTAGTCCTCCTTCTGATCATGATGAGGAATTTGATCTCTCCTTGTTTTCTCCCCAAGAGGAGGAACCTGGTGATGATCCCCTCCCTCCACCTCCTATCTTGGAACCTGTATATGTTAACTCTTCTTCTACTAAGCCATTGCCCCCTCTGCCAGAGGAGGACATGTGGCATTCATCTGAATGGCCTGTTTCTCATTCCTCTCATCCTTTTAGAACTCTCCCCTCTTCTAAGCCTACTGTTTCTTTCGACACTCCAGGACCCCTTCTTTCAGAGGCTTAGAATCCTGTCTCCCCCAAGTCCACGTCCCAGTGCCCTCACTCTCCTTCTCTTCCTCTGCCTCTACACAATGGATGTATGAGTCACCTGTTTGGGTAGAGCAGTGGCCAATTTCCAAACACAAGTTGGAGGCTTTAATTGAAATTGTTAATGATTTACTACAAGCAAACATTATTGAGCCCTCCTTGTCTCCATGGAACTCGTCTGTGTTTGTTGCACAAAAAAAGTCAGGAAAATGGAGGATGGTAACAGACTTAAGAGCTGTTAATGCAGTTATTAAACCTATCAGGGTGTTACAACCTGGTATGCCCTCCCCCTCCACGATTCCTAAGAAATGGCCTTTAATTATCATTGACCTTAAGGACTACTTTTTTCATATTCCTTTAGACAAGTCAGACTGTGAAAAATTTGCTCTCACTATACCTTCCATTAACAATTCAGCTCCTACAGCTAGATATGAATGGAAAGTTTTACCTCAAGGAATGATTAACAGTCCTACTATTTGCCAGTTGTTTGTCAGTACTGTGTTACAATCTATTCGACAGATTTTTAAAAATAATTACATTCTTCGTTATGTGGATGATATACTGATTGCTGCTCCTACTAAAGATGAATTAATTCAATGTTTTACCTCTTTAAAATTAGCTGTTGCCAATGCAGGACTCCACATTGCTCCTAATAAAATTCAACAAGCCACTCCTTTTCTGTACTTAGGAATGCACCAACGCACCTAGAAGCTCGCGCCATTAAGCCCCAAAAAGTCCAACTTCATACTGACAATTTAAACACCTTAAATGATTTTCAAAAATTACTAGGTGACATCAATTATCTCAGACCAATCCTAGGCATCCCTACTTATGCATTATCTCATCTATTTGCTACTTTATCAGGAGATACAGATCTAAACAGTCCTCACTGTCTATCTGAACCAGCAGAAAAAGAGTTGTCTTTTGTAGAACAATGAGTGAAAGAGGGACAAGTCTCTCATATTGACCCAAATTTGCCTTTACAAATTTAGTTTTTCCTTTCATCCACTGTCCTGCAGGACTTATAGTACAAAATGATTCTCTTGTTGAATGGGTATTTCTTCCTAATTCAGCCTCTAAAACTCTTTCAATATATCTTGATCAAATGGTCACTTCAATTGGGTTAGGACGTCAACGTATCACTAAAATTTCCGGCTTTGATCCAAACATTATTGTGGTCCCTTTGTCAAAAAATGAGGTTAAAAATGCCTTTTCTACATCCTTGTGCTGGCACAGACTAATCTGGCTGACTTCACTGGCACTATTGATAATCATCTGCCTAAGCCAAAATTCTTTCAATGTCTACGAAACACTTCCTGGATTCTACCAAAACTTACTCGTTCATCACCACTAGAGGCAGGTGTTACCATTTTTACTGATGGATCCAGTAATGAAAAGGCAGTGTACGTAAGACCAAAAGATAAAGTCATTTCTACTCCATACACTTCTGCTCAAAAAGCCGAGCTGTTTGCTGTTATCTCTGCATTACAAGATTTTGATCAGCCTCTTAATATTGTCTCTGACTCAGCTTATATAGTGCTTGTCACTAAGGCAATAGAAACAGCTACCATCAAAAATATTGCTGACACTAATCTGTTTTCCTTGTTCTCTTTGTTACAAAAACCTGTCAGAAACTGAAACCACCCCTTTTTCATCACTCACATTTGATCTCATACTAATTTGCCTGGACCTTTATCCAGTGGTAATCATAAAGTTGATATTCTAGTTTCTCTAGCCATTACAGATGCAGAACAATTTCATCAACTCATTCATACTAATGCTTCAGGTCTTAAACATAAATATTCTCTGAGTTGGAAACAAGCTAAACAAATTGTACAATACTGTTCTCAATATCAGTGTTGAGATTGTCTCAACACTGGAGTTAATCCCTGAGGCCTTCTCCTAATGCTCTTTGGCAAATTGATATTACTCATGTTCCTTCTTTTGGAAAATTAGCTTACGTGCATGTCACAGTTGACACCTTTTCCAATTTCATCTGGGATACCTGTCAAACCGGAGAAGCCACTTCTCATGTTAAAAACATATGTTTTCATGTTTTGCAGTTATGGGAATTCCTAGTGAGCTCAAAACAGACAACGGTCCAGCCTATTGCAGTAAAGCTTTTAAAAATTTTCTTGATCAGTGGCATATTAAACATATTACTGGTATTCCTTATAACCCACAAAGCCAAGCTATTGTAGAAAGAAGTAACAGAACTTTAAAATTATAATTACTTAAACAAAAGAGGGGGATAAGGAGTTGTCTACCCCTCACATACAACTAAACTTGGCATTGCTCATGTTAAATTTTCTTAATATTCCTAAATCTAGTTCTGTTACTGTCACCGAAAAACATTTTTTCTGGTAACCATCTGACAATAAACCAAGTAAGGGAAGTATGGTGGAAAGATGTTCAATCTAATATATGGTCAAAAGCTTCTATTTTAACGTGGGGAAGAGGCTATGCTTGTGTTTCCCCAGGTGAACATCAACCTCCTGTTTGCATTCCTGCTAGACACCTGAAATTGTGTCCTGAAGATGCATGCAACAACGAGACAGAGAAATTTGCTGAAAAAATGCCACAGCAGGAAACAACTAGCACATCCAACCGTCAAAAAGAAAAAAAATAACCACGCTAACTCCTTTACAACAGACAATCCAGTCAGCCATCCTAAACAACTCGTCTCCAGCGGTCCAGGTCCGGCTCACCCTCTGCCCCCTCCTGATGACACTGATCCTTCTACCCTGTGTCACTCCACAGACTGTTAAAAACTATACATATTGGGCCTATATTCCTTTTCCTCCTCTTATTTGAGCCATGATATGGATGGACGCTCCTATCAGGTCTATGTTAATGATAGTATTTGGATGCCTGGTTCTGTAGATGATCGTTGTCCTGCCCAACCTTCAGAAGACGGAACCCCTTTCAATATCACTTTAGGTTTTAGGTATCCACTTTTGTTCCTGGGACCCACTAATGGATATCTCTCATTAGATATTCAAACTTGGGCAGTCACACTACCATCTGGTCACTCTGTCCCTCCTTTAGGACACTTGGTATCAGGGCTCTCATTAAAACTTCTAAGGCAGATCAAAATAGGAATTGCTCGCTGATTATATTCACACATCCCAATATAAGCCTTTAGGACCTGTGTGTCCTCTCAACGTGTCTTCAAATGCTAACAAATTAATATGGAAGGATTGTGTTAGTTCAGAAGGAACTGTGTTATTTAATTCTTCTCACTATACCATTGTTGATTGGGCTCCTAAAGGTCATATTACTAATGATTGCTCTCAGGGTCACAGATTGTCAACATTTTCTCTATAATATTACTTACAAAAAAGTAGTGACAACCCTCCCCTATTATATCGTAGATTTAACTCCTTTTTTCCTTTTAAGTGGAAAGGGGCAGGGGTTGCCCCTCCAAAGCCAAGGCTCATTGTTCCCCACTTAGGACCTGAACATTCAGAATTATGGAGATTAACCATAGCTATGACTGGTATGAGAGTTTGGGCTGGAGAAAGTGTTATAAGTAAATCCACCTTGTCACCTCAAAAACTAAGACAACAGATTGATTTACACTACTATTTCCACACAGCCAAAAATATCACTATGGCAATCGTCAAAAGGTCAATTCAAAGATGGGACAGTAAAGATTATGAGGACTTATACCCCCCCATCACTAATGTCCCCCCACCACCTCTCATACAACCTATTCCCCCCACCCCACATTCACAGAGTACCATCCCAAAATATATACACTGTCTATATGGAATCCAACAAAACTATACTACTTAAAAGTTGTGTTAAACCACCATATATGTTATTAGTAGGAAAGATGCATACTAGTTCAAAAACCAACATAATTACCTGTGTTAATTGTTACTTGTATACTTGTATTGACTCATCCTTTAATCAGTATCATAGCATTTTAATAGTCAGAGCCAGAGAAGGTATTTGGCTCCCCGTAGCCTTACATAGGCCTTGGGAATCTTTCCCCTCTCTCCATGTTATTAACAATATTCTACAAAAAATTCTTAAAAGGAGTAAACTATTTATTTTTACATTAATTGCAGTAATGATGGGCTTGATTGCTGCTACGGTGACTGCTGCTACTGCTGGAGTTCCATTACATCAATCAATTCAAACTGCCCATTTTGTGGATAAATGGCAAAAAAATTCTACTTGGATGTGGAATTCTCAGTCAGGTATTGATCAAAAATTGGCCAAATTAATGATCTAAGACAAACTGTTATATGGATGGGAGATAGAATTATGAGTTTAGAACAAAGATCACAAATGCAATGTGATTGGAATACTTCTGATTTTTGTATAACTCCGTTTCAACATAATGAGTCTGTTCACAATTGGGAATCAGTAAAACGCCATTGACAAGGAACTGAAGGTAATTTAAGTTTAGACATAAGCAAGCTAAAAGAACAGATTTTTGAGGCCTCTCAAGCACACTTAACTGCTTTACCTGGTGCTGAAGTTTTAGACAGTATATCTGACGGGTTATCTAATCTCAACACCATTCAATGGGTAAAATTTTTGGGAGGATCCACAATCGTTAATTTTGTTCGTGTATAATTTGTGCTATTGCTTTATTATTCATGTGTAAAACTAGAAAAAATATTCTTCAGTCCAATCATGATCAGTGCCAAGCTATGATTGCTACGGTTCATTTAAATCAGAGAAAAGGGGGAGATGTAGGGAGACCCCCTGAAACTATTGCTACTACAGAATAAAAGATGAAATGTTCCTGATTATTGTAAATACAAAGTTGCACGCAGGATTGTGTAAAGACAATGCCAGGCTGGACTGCCAGAATGAGCCAACGGCACATGAAGTACTTCCCACTGCAAAAAGCCTATGAATGGACGTGCAGTCACGGAGGTTTCACATCACCAAGATTCCTATCACAGAAAAACAGATGTTCATAGCTCTGGGTATGGAATGCGACCCTTGTGGAGAGCCTATAAATGGACGCACGAGGGGCACCTGTTCATAGGGATAAGACAGGGCTATAAACGCTCTCATTTTGCCATGGCTCTTTTAGGCCTCTTTAGGGTTAAGGCATACTCCCTTCTGAGAATTTTTGGTCTAACCGGTTGTCTAGCATCACGTTGTTTCTATGGATTGTTTGTAACCAGCTTTTGCTGCAACTATTACTACTGATTAATATCTTCCCAATCATAGGTTATGGAAAGACTGTGTTTCTGTTTTAAGGCTCTGTTAGAAATTACTGATGCACACACTATATTGTAAATTTTTATCTCTGTATACTGTACTTCTGTATACAGATGTTCTGTTAAAGAATTACTTCATTCCCATGTGACCATCTCACCTCATAATCAAATGACCCTAAATTTCTTACTAATCTACCCCCACCCTCACTAAAATTAATAATAAATGCTGGTATATCCAGTGCATTGGCAGCATCTTGGGACCAGAAGGCGGTGACCCCCCTGGACCCAGCTTTCACTATCTTGTGTGCGTTTATTATTTCTTGACCTGTCAATCCACCTGGGAAAAAGGAAAGAGCCCCGTTGCATTGCAGGCTGCTGGCCAGATCCCGCAATACAGGTAGCGTGATGCCTCCAGCTTTGTTCTTTTGGCTTAGGATTGTCTTGTCAATGCGGGCTCTTTTTTGGTTCCATATGAACTTTAAAGTAGTTTTTTACAATTCTGTGAAGAAAGTCATTGGTAGCTTGATGGCGGTGGCATTAAATCTATAAATTACATTGGGCAGTATGGCCATTTTCACGATATTGATTCTTCCTATGTATGAGCATGGAATGCTCTTCCATTTGTTTGTGTCCTCTTTTATTTTGTTGAGCAGTGGTTTGTAGTTCTCCTTGAAGAGGTCCTTCACATCCCTTGTAAGTTGGATTCCTAGGTATTTTATTCTCTTTGAAGCAGTTGTGAATGGGAGCTCATGATTTGGCTCTCTGTTTGTCTGTTATTGGTGTATAAGAATGCCTGTGATCTTTGCCCATTGATTTTGTATCCTGAGATTTTGCTGAAGTTGATTATCAGCTTAAGGAGATTTTGGGCTGAGATGATGGCGTATTCTAAATATACAATCATGTCATCTGCAAACAGGGACAATTTGACTTCCTGACAAAAACAAGAAATGGGGAAAGGATTCCCTATTTAATAAATGGTGCTGGGAAAACTGGCTAGCCATATGTAGAAAGCTGAAACTGGATCCCTTCCTTACACCTTATACAAAAATTAATTCAAGATGGATTAAAGACTTAAACGTTAGACCTAAAACCATAAAAACCCTAGAAGAAAACCTAGGTAATACCATTCAGGACATAGGCATGGACAAGGACTTCATGTCTAAAACACCAAAAGCAATGGCAACAAAAGCCAAAATTGACAAATGGGATCTCATTAAACTAAACAGCTTCTGCACGGCAAAAGAAACTACCATCAGAGTGAACTGGCAACATACAGAATGGGAGAAATTTTTTGCAATCTACTCATCTGACAAAGGGCTAATATCCAGAATCTACAAAGAACTCAAACAAACTTACAAGAAAAAAACAAACAACCCCATCAAAAAGTGGGCAAAGGATATGAACAGACACTTCTCAAAAGAAGACATCTATGCAGCCAACAGACACATGAAAAAACGCTCATCATCACTGGCCATCAGAGAAATGCAAATCAAAATCACAATGAGATACCATCTCACACCAGTTAGAATGGCGATCATTAAAAAGTCAGGAAACTACAGGTGCTGGAGAGGATGTGGAGAAACAGGAACACTTTTACACTGCTGGTGGGAGTGTAAACTAGTTCAACCATTGTGGAAGACAGTGTGGCGAATCCTCAGGGATCTAGAACTCAAATACCATTTGACCCAGCCATCCCATTACTGGGTATATACCCAAAGCATTATAAATCATGCTGCTATAAAGAAACATTCACACATATGTTTACTGCAGCACTATTCACAATAGCAAAGACTTGGAACCAACCCAAATGTCCATCAATGATAGACTGGACTAAGAAATTGTGGCACATATACACCATGGAATACTATGCAGTCATAAAAAAGGATGAGTTCATGTCCTTTGTAGGGACATGCATGAAGCTGGAAACCATCATTCTCAGCAAACTATCACAAGGACAAAAAAAAACAAACTCCGCGTGTTCTCACTCATAGGTGGGAATTGAACAATGAGAACACATGGACACAGGAAGGGGAACATCACACACCGGGGCCTGTCGTGGGGTTGGGGGAGACAGAGGGATAGCATTAGGAGATATACCTAATGTAAATGATGAGTTAATGGGTGCAGTACACCAACATGGCACATGTATACATATGTAACAAACCTGCACATTGTGCACATGTACCCTAGAACTTAAAGTATAAAAAAGAATAAAAAAAGAAAGCTTTACTGGTTTTTGAGACACTAAAAATAATAATAATGAAGCAGGCATGGTGGCTTATGCCTGTAATCCCAGCACTTTGGGAGGCTGAGGAGGGTGGATCACTAGGTCAAGAGTTCGAGACCAGCCTGACCAAAATGGTGAAACCCCGTCTCTACTAAAAATACAAAAATTAGATGGGTGTGGTGGTGCGCACCTACAATCCCAGCTACTCAGGAGGCTGAGGCAGGAGAATTGATTCAACCCGGGAGGTGGAGGTTGCAGTGAGCCAAGATCATGCCACTGTACTCCAGCCTAGGCGACGGAGTGAGACTGGGTCTCAAAATAATAATAATAATAATAATAATAATAATAATAATAATAATGAGGATGACAGTAATGTTTTGCAATAGACTAATCTATATGAATCAATGATAACATTTTTGGTTTTATATTTTGATAGCCATTGATAAATACATAGAAAAAAACCAAATCCTAATTCTAAAATGCTCATAAATCAATATCAATTTACAGAATTTGATTTATTTGTATAAAAATTTTTCTCTTCAGTTATTTTCCTTCTCAAACTAGAAATGTCCATCTAATATCAGGTGGTAAAATGCTAAGTGCATTTACGTAGATGATGACTTAAATATTAGAATCAAATTACTTATATCATCTTTTAGGGATTAATTCTTCTACTTCCAAACATTGCTTTTATGTCAAAGTATCCTTCTAAGGTAAACAGATCAGAGACAGCAGGTGGGGACAGGGTGTAGAAGGCAAAGCAGCACAGCCCATAACTCAGTGAAATGTGTCAGAGGCTGGCAGGCCAGTAAGAGCACTGAGCTGAGGTTTAGCTACTTGATAATAAACCTCGTACTATATGTCAGCAAAATCTCAAAGATATTAATATCAAGATCTCTTCACAATTTTAAAAATTATTGACAATTCCAAGAAACCCTTTGTTTATATAGGTTATATCTACTATTATTTACCATGTAGAAAATTAAAACTTTTAAAATATTTTTATTAACTTCCAATAACAAGAAAACTAAGCTATATGAAAAAAACTTACATATTTATATAAAAAATAATTGACTTGTAAAACAAAAACAGTAGGTGAGAAGAGTGTCATTGTTTCACATATTTTGCAAATCTAATATCTTTCTTAATAGAAAGGAAGTATGTATTTCTGTATTCAATCTGTTTAAATATGTTATTTTGGTTGAAGTCTATGAAAAAAAAATTCAGTCTTACCCAGGTATGCAGATGGAAAGCAGGAGTATTTTAATTGTCGTTCCATTTAATTGTGGATATTATACACAAACATCTATATGAACTAATATAAAACAAAGTCTATGATATATTTTTAACTAAAAAATGTCTGGTTGATCAGTATGTAGAGCCAGTTCTGATTTTTGAAAAAAAAATATACAAGTGTATATGTGAATATTTAGACATGGCTTACAAGCATAGGGGAAGTTGTTCATGAAAGTAAATACTATATTATTTAGCCTCTATAAAACTATATTTTTATATATTATATAGAGTATATAAATATTATTCATTAAATTATTATTATAATATCTATTCAGCCACTATAATAACCTCTGGAGGCTGTGTTTTAAGAAATGATATGTGAATTATGGATATATTTTCCTTTCTGGTGTGTGTGTGTGGGGGGGGTGGTTGTGTGAGTGTGTGTTCCTTTGCTTTGCAAATTAAAATAAAGAAGGAAGAAGTGGAGAGGAAGCCAGACCAATTTCAGACTTCTGTGCATCATATAATGTCAGAAGACATTAGAGCACTTACACAGTCCTCAGTAAAAATTTTTCCACTCCAAATCTCATATCAAATCATTTATTCTTATGAGAAAACAACACCACAAAATTATCAAGTATGCAAAAAACACTATCCACATGTCTTCTTCAAAAATACTTTTAGATGTATTCTAGCCAAGTAAGACAGAAAACTCCAAATTAGGAATCAAATAACAGAGAGGTTGCCATGTAAATGGATTAGTTACTAAATATGCTGTCCTCCATTATGAGACATTGTATATTTCAAGTAATAATACGGCAGCCCAATTACTCAAGAAAAGCATATAAAATAGATATTGGGGCAGGTATAACTTCTGATGTAGAAACTATAAAAGGTATAGTATTTATTTCCTTTTATTTTAGAATACTCTTTAGCACTAGTGCAATTGCCATAACGTGTGACCAGAAATCAAATAAGCAACACTTCCAACACATTACAGTTCATAAAGAAAATCTTAAAAGGAAACTGAAAATTGGTAGCTTCTAACCCATGTTTCTCATTCTGCCTTGTCTTTAGCCTCAACTATGAAACTCTCCTCTTCCTCCTCCTCTACCTCCCATCCTTACAGATATCTGGGTCCCACACCCAGAGAATGTGCTTTACTACCTATACAGTGGAAATGGATCTGCATTTCTTAAAGTTTCTCATTCAGGTATGAGAGAACCCCTGCCCTAAAGGGAGGTGGCTTAGATGAATAGATCAAGTTAATAACAGTGTTATTGGATATTCAAGTAAAAATATACAACCAATTTGTAGCTCCAAAGAGAAACAGAGATTTGGGTTCTACAGTGGTTTCTAAATCTGTGATCTCCACCCAATTGATAGAGAAATATATACGACCTTAAGGAAACTTTGTCTGACTTTTGATAAAAATGTGCAGATGAAATGTCAAGTACAGAATCATACAACTCATTAATTAATTCAAAAATATTAAACCCCTCTAGGTATCAAGCACAGGGCTAAATGCTGGAGATACGATATGAATAAAATAGACATGTGCCCTGCCCTCCTAGAGCTCAGGCTGTTTGTTGTATTTTGTCATAAAATATGAACTGCCTAAAGACAACAAATATACTTACAGAATACTCTCTTGGTACCTAAAGTACATTAAGAAGATTCCTTCAGACAAATTTAACAACAGAACTTTCACTGGATTCACTGTCAATGTGTTGTGGGTTTTTTTGTTTGTTTGTTTTTTACAATAAACAGCAGATTTTCAATGGTTGGTCTAAAATTTTCTCCATGTTTGGTGAAAAATATCAACGACAGTAAACTGGAAGGATTATTGCAAATTTTGACCACCTGGTAAATACCTCAGGTTGAAGCAATATGTTATTTTCCTAAAATTCTGATCTTTGGAAAAATTTAGCTCTGTTTGAAATATTCTTTAATGTTTCCACATACCACTTATTGCAACTAGTTAAAAACAAATACTTTACTGGCATCATAATTACACTTCCTATTGTTTCCCCCAATATTTACTCAAATGTTTCCATTTTTCCCATATAAAATATTATTTTCTACACTATTTATCCAGTTATTCTTGTTTAATTCTTCTCATCTTTTTTCATAAATCATTTGCCACCTCCTTAACATTATTGGAGCTACTTTTTGATTTCTTCTAGATTTCTAGAGCCAATGAGGCAGTCAGAACCTAACAGTACTCAGTATGCTGCACTTCTCCAAGTCTCATATAAGAATTATTGCCACTCTAAGCCATGCCATTTCTGCATATAAAACAACATATCTAGGCTTCATAATGCTATGCGAAGTACTTTATTATTTAATTTACTTTTAGGCCCTTTTTGGCAACTTTCTCACAAATGATAGTGTTTGTGTGATTATTTCAAGTGAACACAACTTAAGATTATATATCAAGTGACTATGATATCCTCCCCCTGTGATGTGTGCATGAAGGACTAAGTATATACGCAGGGAAGGATCAGAGGAATAAAGATGACTACCATTTTGCATTTCTTTCTAAAACAGAATTCCCATCGAGTTTTAAGAAATATTTTTTGCATATATTTAAGGATGGGAATGGGTTGACTATTATTTTTTAAAATAGAGTGTACTGCAACCCACATTGAAGACATTTTTATCTCTAATATGCAAATTAAAACAAGGGGACTTCATGACCTGTGCATAACAAAAGAGCCAATGATTACAGTGGCAGCAGGGAGCGTAGGGGGAGGACTATTTAAATCATACTGAAAGAATATTCATTCAAATATTGATTAATTGCACTATACTAGATATTTTAGATAAAGATGAAAGCAGTTTCTATCTACCACGAATAGTAGGACAGAGAAGGCAATATGGTGGTTAAATGTGGGCACAGAGCTCAGGCTCCCTGAGTCAAACACGGCTGTTATGCTTTTTAGCTGTGTGACTTTGAGAAATTATTGAACCTCATTAACCCTAAGCTTTTATTTATCAGAGGCTTAGAAAACATATAAAGCAAACTTGAATGCCTGCCACTTGCTAGAGCTTATTTAAGGTTCTCACTTAATATAATTAAGTGCTTTATGGAAACTATCACATTTAGTCATGCTTTTTCTTGTGAAGAAAGGGAGGCTCAGAGAGGTTAAGCCACACTAGAAAGAAACTACAGTCTTGTGATTGAAATATAGTTTGTCTTATTCCCAATTTCATGCCATTTCTGTTTTCAATTTTTTAAATTAATGATATACAGAGTTTAAGTGTTAAATTATTCTAAAAGGCTTATGAAGAAAAATATTAGTTTCTTATAGATCCTCCCTCCACCAGGTTCCACTGTCCAGCATGAACTGCCTATCCATCTTTGAGCCATTTCTTTTGGTATTTACTTCATTAAATAATCCTATTTAGAAAACACCATTTGACCAGTAGTTTATAATGAATAGAAATTTATTTGGTTCATGGCTGTGAAGGCAGGGAAGTCTAAGAGCACAGCACAAGCATCTGGCAAAGCCCTCTGTGTTGCATCATCCCATGGCAGAAGGCAGACAGGCAAAAGAGGACAAGAGCAAGTGAGCACGTGAGGGCTGAACTCACAGTTCTAACCACCCACTCTCAAGATATAGCAACCCCACTCCCATGATAATAGCATTAGTCTTCATGATGGCAGAGCCCTCATGGCCTAATCACCTCTTAGTGTTCCCACCTCTTAAACTAGAGGCTATTGCAAGGTCCTTTTATTTGTCTCTAGTATTCTGTTCCATGATGCTATGCTTTGGTTTGAGTCTATTTTCATCTATTTTTGTGGGAACTCAATTGGCCCTTTCAATCTGGTAACTCAATTCTTTAATTCTGGAAATTTTTCTTGAATTAATTTCAATGTTCTCCTCCCCTCCATTTTCTCTGTTCCTTCTTTATGTAGCTCTTATTTTTCAGACAGTATCTTTCCACCTCTGAATTCCTAAACTTACATTTCTTTTATCTCCAATTTTCCACACGTATATATTAATTTCCAAGAGCTTTTCTCTGAATATTCTTTTAAAGATCACATTGTGTTCATGTTTCACAGATCCAGTATTTTTTCTTATCTCTGAGAATATTAATAATCCATATTTCAAAGTGTTCACTTTCACAGTCTCTGTTTCCAGTAGATTTCTTTTTGTTTAATTTCTGTATTTAACATTCGACATTTCCTCAGATGTCTGTTAACTATTGCCTATCTGCTCACATCAGAAAAACTAACTGGAAATTCTGTGGGATGGATGCTCAACCGTGGGCTTTATACACGGGCATGTAGCTAGTCTGTTTCATTTAAGAAACCCTGATATTGGTATTTTTAGATGTTGTATGTTAGGCTTGTTGGAAATCCCAGAAAATAATTTCTAATTACTCAAATTCTGGGAATCCAGTGGGAAAAGATGACTGTTTGGAGTCGGGTTGGGGGGTCTTAATATTTAGATGCAAACTTTCACTAAATAATCCTGTTTCAGTTTGGTTCTCTTCCTTCATATGTGCCCAGTTTAGCAACACCTAGTTTATTATCTACAGAGAAAAATCTTCAATTTACTATCGGGTTGGAGTAGGGACAGTGTTGAATAAAGAGTGAAACTGCTTCCTTAAGAGCCTTGCGTCCAATTCTCTTGTTTTTATCTCCACCTTCACCCTCACTTTCTGGACATCTAAGGTTAACAATTCCTGAGCATTCTGGGGACCTTCTGTGCAAATTAGGGTGCCGTGTTTCTTCGCTATTGGCTTAAGCTTCAGCTCTCCCAGATCTACACTCCTTGTCTTATTCTTAAAATGCTTCTGACGTTGTTGCCTTTCCTTTTCATCTCCATCTTATGCCTTTTAAAAATCTTTCTACATTTCTTTATTTTACTAGAGTTTTAGAAAGTAATTTGGGAGGTATGTATTACATATGTATGCTGGATACATGGGTTCATGCCCTATCTTTAAACAGAATCTTTAAATTCCATGCTTTTCCTATTATTTTGGAATAGAGCTACCCTGAATAATGTACTTTGCTCTTTCACATTTTCTTGTTCTTGGCTCTCCTTCTGTTCAGCAAGAGAAACGCATTACTGTAAGGAAGATAAGAATTATCACGGCTGGGCTGGGTGCGGTGGCTCACGCCTGTAATTCCAGCACTTTGGGAGACCAAGACGGATGGATCACGAGGTCAGGAGTTGAAGACCAGCCTGGCCAAGATGGTGAAACTCCGTCTCTACCAAAAATACAAAAAATTTGCCGGGAGCCGTGGCAGGCGCCTGTAATCCCAGCTATTCGGGAGGCTTAGGCAGGAGAATGGCTTGAACTCGGAGGGCGGAGGTTGCAGTGAGCTGAGATCGCACCACTGCACTCCAGCCTAGGAGACAAAATAAATAAATAAATAAATAAATAAATAAATAAATAAATAAATAAATAAATCATGGTTGGATTGCAAAGTTAAAGTATTGCAAAATAGGTTCTTAAATTTAGCCTATTTCAGAAGAAACAACATATAAGTCAAGCTTTCAATTGCTAGACCCTTATACTTACCAGAAAAAAAAAAGTTTTCTAAATTCAAAAAGTTTCCCAATAAATATTAAGGACCCAAGCTAAGAGGGCCAAGCGTATGGCTTTTCCCATAAGCTGTGAAATTCCTGCTATACTAGATGGTAATTTAAAAAATCCTTCCTAGGAGAGAGTAACTAGCCTGGAGAAAGAGGGGAAGAGAAAAAAAAGCCGGCCTTAGCCCTGAGCTTCCCCTAGCACCAGGTGGGAAGTGGGGGCTGGTAAAATAATATCTCAAGATAAATTTAGGAGCAGGGATACCCGTGGCCCAGTTGCCATGTGGAAATGGGAGAAGAGACCTCCTGATGAACTGCATCCAGCCAATACAGAGAAGAAGCAATATAATTGTATAATTAGGCAAATGTGCCCCTTAAATGGGTTCAAAAGACCAAATTAAACAAGCTGCCTCTGTATAATAACAAACTAGAAATATATTGGCTATCTCTTATGATACAGAAATCAGAATCTGTGCATTTTTAACGATTTGTAAAATACCATCGGACTCCTTACTTGGTAAAGATACATACAACAAGGGTAAGCATTGATAATCTGAAGAATGTAGTATTAGTGTTAACATTTGTTTTCAGTAACTGTTAGGATCTTCACTTATTTATAATCTGATTCCCCATATAAAGACCTGAATTGCTTTTAGCTAACTCTAGAGCAGCTTTTACAGATCACAAAGTGACAGCCAAGAGGTAACCAAAAGGATGAGGTTTTACCAGCCCTGATGGAAGCTGTGGGATTCTGGAATCCCAAAAAACAATGCTCCCAGAGAAGTGACCAACACAGCACTCATTTCCCTGTCTCCGTGGTACAGGGTGGATTAATGGCCCAGGTAACACACAGAGTTGAGCTCCCTGACTTTTTGTTCCCCAAACAAAGTAATTACAAGGAACATCAGCAATTATACTCTAAGCCTAGTCACTGCCTATGCAAAGAAAAATTACAACTACTATTATCATTATAATTTTAAGAAGGCACTTTAAAAGTAAAAGGACAGCTAAATCACATGGTATGAAAAGAATCATAAAAATTAAATTCCTTGGACTGTATCAGCCTATTCTCTAGTGTATATTATACTTCTAGTGGTTCTAAAATAAAAATAGAGGAACCCACAAAAAAAAAATCTGATGGGAATCAGAAACCATTATAAATTATAGAATCTGATAATTATCAGTCTCCAACTAATGCCCTAATTACATAGACATTCATTAATTATGTTTCCTAAATTTAGGCTCAGTAAAACCACAAAAAATAACTGGTTTCTCAGGTTTTAAAATAATTCTAATCAGTATTAGATACTTTGGGAATATGGGTAGAAGAATCCCTCTCTTTCTCTCTCCATTCCCACTTGATTAGGGTGTATAAAAGGTCCCTGTTAATACATCATCAGTGCTCATGTCTGGAGGCATCTTTTACAATAGTTTGATCATAAATTAACTAAGTCTGACCTTCTGCAGTTATGTTTGATTCGTATAATCATGATGCAAAATGTACTAGTTTGCATGAAGTGTATTAGCAAGCCATTTCTCCTGCCTAATACAGTATACAGAAAGAAATTAAACAAGACCTTACCTAAGACTACTTTTTATGGCTTTTAATTTGATGCTTTTACTGTTTATAATTATGCTTTTATCCCTCAATCATTTCAATTTATGTTGCTAGGCTCCATTAAAACAATTTGAAATAATAATGAACCATTAGAGTCTATGCTTCTTTAAAAACCAAGATGTTAGATGTTAAAAATTATATGTATTCTCATCCAAAACTACTTCCTTAATTTTATAAAAAGAAAAGTAAAGTGTATTATCAGGATTTAAACTTATGATTTTAAGAATCCTGTCAGCAATGGAACAGAACAGAGAACTCAGAAATAAGATAGCCCATCTACAACCATCTGATCTTCGACAAACCCAGCAAAAACAAGCAATGGGGAAATGAGTTCCTATTTCATAAATGGAGCTGGGAGAACTGGCTAGTCATATACAGACAATTGAAACAGGACCCCTTCCTTACACCTTGCACAAAAATTAACTCAAGAGGGATTAAAGACTTAAATGTAAAACCCAAAACCATAAAAGCCCTAGAAGAAAATCTAGGCACTACCATTCAGGACATAGGCATGATCAAAGATTTCATGACACAAATGTCAAAAGCAATTGCAACAAAAGCCAAAATTGACAAATGGGATCTAATTAAACTAAAGAGCTTCTGCACAGCAAAAGAAACTATTATCAGAGTGAACAGACAAACTACAGAATGGGAGAAAATTTTTTGCAATCTATCCGTCTGACAAAACGTCTAATATCCAGAATCTACAAGGAACTTAGACAAATTTACAAGAAAAAAACAAACAACCCCATTAAAAAGTGGGCAAAGGACATGAACAAATACTTTTAAAAGAAGACATTTATGTGGCCAACAAGAATAGGAAAAAAAGTTCAGCTTCACTGATCATTAGAGAAATGCAAATCAAAACCACAATGAGATACCATCTTATGCCAGTCAGATAGTGATTATTAAAAAATCAAGAAACAACAGATGTTGTTGAGGTTGTGAAGAAAAAGGAACACTTTTACACTGTTGGTGGGTTTGTAAATTAGTTCAACCATTGTAGAAGACAGTATGGCAATTCCTCAGACACAGAACCAGAAATACCATTTGACCCAGCAATCCCATTACTGGGTATATACCCAAAGGAATTTCAATCATTTTATTATGATGATATATGCATGCGTGTGTTCAGTGCAGCACTATTCACAATAGCAAAGACATGGAATCAATCCAAATAACCATCAGTGACAGACACTGGATAAATAAAATGTGGTACACATACACCATGGAATACTATGCAGCCATAAAAAAGAACTAGATTATGTACTTTGCAGAGACATGGAAGGAGCTGGAAGTCATTATCCTCAGCAAATTAACAGGAACAGAAAACCAAACACTGCATGTTCTCACTTATAAGTGGGAGCTGAACAATGAGAACACATGGACACATGGGGGTCAGGAGGACAACACACACTGAGACCCGTTGGTGGCAGGGGTGAAGAGCATCAGGAAAACCAGCTAATGCTTGCAGGGCTTAATACCTAGGTGATGGGTTAATTCGTGCAGCAAACCACCATGGTATGTGTTTACCTATTTAACAAACCTGCACATCCTGCACATGTACCCCAGAACTTAAAATAACATTTAAAAATAAAATAAAATAAATAAGAGCTTTCAGAGAAAATAAAATTGTGCTTTCAATGGCTTAGAAAAAAAAAGAACGCTGTCAGGATAACCATAAAGGTTTTCTATTTACTTTTGGATGTTCACATTTTATTTTTGACCCAGAAAAGTGTTTGCTCATTTACCATAGTTTGAAGTTTGTCCCAGACTCAGGCCAAATTCTCTGAGCTATCTGATGCAGACAGAGTAGTAAGATGAAAGCACCGAGCTTTTTTGAATGACTGCTGTGCAAGGCGTTATATAAAAGCATGTGCATCAATAGACATACAGTGTTTGACATAGATGTATACATACATGCTTTGAGGCTGTCTGCCTTTATCCTTGGTTTTATGCCTGCATGGATTATATTAGTGTTGGGACATAAGAGGAAAAAAAATTATGAAGTATATAACCTTTCTTATGTAGTGAGTAGCGATGAAGAGACAGAGCTAGATAAAAAGATCCAGATGGACTATAGGCACAAAAACAGACTAACTCTACATCTAACTCTGCAAGTAAGAGGTGGCAGTAAATATGAAGCTGAGATGGCAAAACAACCAGGCATATAGTCAAACAAGCAGAATTACAGAATCTGAATTCACAGAGCTAGGCAATAGGTCCAAATTTTGGTAGACAAGCAAGAGAAATCTGGATCCTATTGAAGTAATTCCAACGGAAAGATCCAAAGCCCATATTTCTTCCCATGTCCTCAACTTCTTGAACGAATAAAATGATGGCATGAGCCACATTTTGGACCCACTTAAGTTCTACTAGTGCTTAAGTAACTGGAAAGCAAGCTAAGGAAAATATACCATCCTACTCTTAGAGAAATATAGGTTTGAGTAGATCTATATCTAACCAAGGATATATAAACTGAAAAGCAGAAAGAAATAGAACTACTCTGTAAAAGAAAAAAATAAATAGCTTGTAAAACAATTAAAGAATATATTTATTAAACTCTATGCCAGAAAACCAGAAAATGATAGAAAGAAAGTGCTTCGCATTCTTAAATGATAGCAGGAGCTGGTATACTAGGGAGGAAGGTGATGTTCCATAGGATGAGGTTATGTCTTAAAGCAATAGCCAACATTCAGTGCTCTCTCCCCCACTGCCAGAATGAATGAGGTTAGAAACAAGAGTAGAGATGGGAGTGACTCCTCTAGCAATTATACCTAATAACCCTATGGAAGAATTTTGGGCTTGATGTGTTTGGAGGTCCTAGACTCCACAGAAGAAGGGATTCTACCAGGAAACACAGTTATGAAGAATCAAATGAAAACAAATGTCCTCAGATCCATTTTGGATTCTTCATGCCACTGAGCCAACAGTCTATGATGCAGGTCTCCACAATGGCCAAGATTATTGACCCTGACAAGGAGGAAATTGGGTTGCTGCCACACAATAGAGGACCACGTGTGAAACTCAGGTATTCACTTCGTCACCTCTGTCTTTCCTTGTCCAATCCTGTTCCCAATACCGGAGGACTGGGTCA
Organism: Homo sapiens; assembly: GCF_000001405.40. Taxonomy (NCBI): domain Eukaryota; kingdom Metazoa; phylum Chordata; class Mammalia; order Primates; family Hominidae; genus Homo; species Homo sapiens. Next base: position 114,129,621 of record NC_000005.10, on the reverse strand, counting down.
CCAGATGGGTACACAGAACACCATCCAGCTGAAGTTACAGAAGAGTTAAGGGGAACATGGAATGGATGGTTCAAAAGACTTCTATGATTAGGATGGAAGAAGGTTTTGTGACCACAGACAGAATTAGGGAATTTAGCAGCTATGTTTTCCTAACTCTCTTTCCCTTTTTCTTCTTGTTACCTTATATGAAGAGCGTCAGTGGCAGCTAATCTTTAGGTTTTACGTGGAAATATGACCATATTGGAAACAATCCTGATAAGGTAGCAGAAGAAATTTTTTGTATTCTCTTTGTTGGGTTTCAAACAGAAGACTTTCCTCACCCTCTGTCTTAGAAGCCTCATGTGTATGGATTACATCAGTTACTTTGGATACCAGCTGGGTTTGGCTAATGGAAAGCTACAGCAGGAGTTAAGGGAGAAAAGGAGAGTAAGGGGTGGGGAACCTATCTTCCTCATTCCTTTCTGTATCCCACAAACAAAGACAACTGCTACTCTATCCTTCTGACTCCATTATTTCACCTTCCTTAAGATCTAGGGGTGGTAACAACTCCACTGTTGTTAGTCAGGCTATCAAACCCTTATCTTTGTAAATTATCCTTTATTAAATCCTCCTATAATTATCCTAATTTGAATGTACTATCTGTTTTCAAGGAGGACCTTGACCAATACATGTAGCATAACACAATGATTCTTTTTATTTACCTAGAAAATTACACAGTTTTACTTTTCCAAGATAAGAGAATTAAATATTAATCTGAATTTGGAGTAGGCTTGTGGGAATTAATGAATCTAAGCTCAAATAACATGCAGATTTACTGAAATTGTCTTTAGGATTTTTTTAATTTCATTCTCTGATTTTAAGTATCAGTTAGAAATTAACCCAAGTATGGAATCCAGACTAATTTAGTGTTAATGATCCTGTGAGGGAAAGCAGGCAGACCCTAAACATAGCTTCAATGTCTCAGCTTAACATGAGTTCCAAATAAAACATGAATTATTACAATTACTGTTATGAGTTAAATTATGTCTTGAAAATGATATGTTGAAATCCTAACCACTAGAGTTAAGAATGTGACTGAAATGGTTTGGCTGTGTCCCCACCCAAATTTCATCTTGAATTGTAGTTCCCATAATCCCCACATGTCATGCGAGAGACTAGGTGGAGATAATCAAATCATGGAGGCAGTTTCTCCCAGCCTGTTCTCACGATAGTGAGTTAGTTCCCATGAAATCTGATTATTTTGTAAGGGGCTTCCCCTTCCACTGGGCACTCATTCTTCTCCTTGCTGTTGCCATGTGAAGAAGGCCATATTTACTTCCCCTTTCATCAAGATTGTAAATTTCCTGAGGCCTCCCCAGCCACGCTGAACTGTGAGTCAATTAAGCCTCTTTCCTTTATAAATTACCCAGTCCTGAGTATGTCTTTATTAGCAGAACTAGAACAGAATAATACAGTAAATTGGTACCAGGTAGTGGGGTGCTGTTATAAAGATACTCAAAAATGTGGAAGCAACTTTAGAACTGGGTAACAAGCAGAGGCTGGAACAGTTTGGAGGGCTCAGAAGAAGACAGGAAGATGTGGGACAGTTTGGAACTTCCTAGAGATTTGTTGAGTGGCTTTGGCCAAAATGCTTATAGTGATATACACAATAAAGTCCAAGCTGAGGTGGTCTGAGATGGAGATAAGAAACTTGTTGGGAACTGGAATAAAGGTGACTCTTGCTGTGTTTCAGCAAAGAGATTGGAGGCATTTTTGCCCCTGCCCTAAAGATCTGTGGAACTTTGAATTTGAGAGAGATGATTTAGAGTATCTGGTGGAAGAAATTTCTAAGTAGCAAAGCATTCAAGAGAAAGCAGAGCATAAAAGTTTGGAAAAATTGCAGCCTGATGAGGCAATAGAAAACAAGAACCCATTTTCTGGGGAGAAATTCAAATCAGCTGCAGAAATTTGCATAAAAAACAAGGAGCTGAATGTTAATCACCAAGCCAATGGAGGAAATGTCTCCAGGGCACATCAGAAACCTTCCCAGCAGCCCCTCCCATCACATGGCCAGAGGCCTAGGAGGAAAAAATGGTTTTGTAGGCCAGGCCGAGGGCTCCCCTGCTGTGTGCAGCCTAGCGACTTGGTGCCCTGCATCCCAGACACTCCAGCTGTGGCTAAAAGACGCCAAGGTGCAGCTCGAGTCATGGCTTCAGAGGGTGCAAGCTTCCACGTGTTGTTGAGCCTGCAGGTATACAAAAGTCAAGCACTGACGTTGGGGAACCTCCACTTAGATTTCTCAGGATGTACGGAAACGCCTGCATGTTCAGGCAGAAGTCTGTTTCAGGGGTAGAGCCCTCACAGAGAACCTCTTCCAGGGCAGTGCAGAAGGAAAATGTGGAGCCGGAGCCCCCAGCCCCTACACAGAGTTCCCACTACAATGCTTAGTGGGGCTGTGAGAAGAGGGCCACCATCCTCTAGACCCCAGAATGGTAGATTCACTGACAGCTTGCACCATGCACCTGGAAAAGTCTCAGACGCTCAATGCCAGCTCATGAAAGCAACCGGAAGGGAGGCTGTACCCTGCAAAGCCACAGGAGCAAAGCTTCCCAAGGCTATGGGAGCCCATCTCTTGCATCAGCGCGACCTGGATATCAGACATGGAGTCAAAGGAGATCATTTTGGAACTTTAAGGTTTAATGACTGCCTTTTTGGATTCTGGACTTGCGTGGAGCCAATAACCCCTTTGTTTTGGCCAATTTCTCCCATTTGGAATGGGTGTGTTCACTCAATGCCTGTACCCCCATTGTATCTAGGAAGTAACTAACTTGCTTTTGATTTTACAGGCTCATAGGTGGAAGGGACTTGCCTTGTCTCAGATGAGACTTTGGACTGTGGACTTTTGAGTTAATTCCTTAATGAGTTAAGGCTTTGGGGGAATGAGTTAAGGCTTTGTTGGAAAGGCATAATTGGTTTTGAAATGTGAGGACATGAGATTTGGGAGAAGCCAGAGGTAGAATGATATGGTTTGGCTGTGTCCCCACCCATAATTCATCTTGAATTGTAGTTCCCATAATCCCCATGTGCCATGGGAGGGACACGGTGGAGATAATTGAATCATGCGGGAGGATTCCTACATCCTGTTCTCATGAGAATGAGTTAGTTCTCACAAGATCTGATGATTTTATAAGGGGCTTCCCCCTATACTGGGCACTCATTCTTCTGCTTGCTGCTGCCATATGAAGAAGGCCATGTTTGCTTCCCCTTCTGCCATGACTGTAAGTTTCCTGAGGCCTCCCCAGCCATGCTGAACTGTGAGTCAATTAAACTTTTTCCTTTATAAATTACCCAGTCTTGAGTGTGTCTTTATTAGCAGCCTGAGAACAGAGTAATATAGTGACCTTATTCAGCAATAGGGTCTTTCCAGGGCTAATTAAGTTAAAATGAGTTCATTAGGATGGGACCTAATCCAGTATCACTGGTGTCCTTATGAAAGGGGGTGACTTGAACAGAGAAACAGATGCTCACAGCTGGAAAATGATGTGAAGAGACACCAGGAGAATATCACATAAAGATGGAAGATTGGTGTTATGTATGTATAACCCAAGGAATGCCAAAGATTGCTAGAAAACCAACAGAACATAGGAAGGATACCCTTTGTTATGGGCTGAATTGTGTCCTCCCAAAATTCATGTGCTGAAGTTCAAACCTCCAGTACCTTTGTGACTGTTTGGAGATAGGGCCTTTAAGAGGTAATTAAGTTAAAATGAAGCATTAGGATGGGCCCCAATCCACTATGATTGCTGTACTTATAAGAGGAAATTTGGACACAGACACATATGGAGGGAAGATGCTGTAAAGACACAGGGAGAAGACAGCCACCTACAAGACAAAGAGAGAGGCCTCAGAATAAACCAATCATTGATCTCACACTTCTAACCTCCAGAACTGTAAGAAAATAAATCTCTGTGTAAATCACCACATCCATGGTACTTATGGTAGCCCTAGCAAACTAATGCACCCTACAAGTCTCAAAGGGTGTATGACCCTGTGGACGCCTTGATCTTGGACTTCCAGCCTCTAGAACTGTGGGAGAATAGATTTTTTTTAGGAAGTTGTAGAGTAGAAAGCAAGGTGATAAAAGTGGAGAGCTTTCCTACTTGCTTTAGAATATACATGGGAGCAACACTCCCTACAAATTCATTTTATTCCATTTTATACCAATGATGCTGATTAGCATGAATTTAAAAATATGTTAATACTAATGCAACAGGATATAAAATGAAACTTCCTGTCTTAATTTCAGCTGAGACTCCAAAACTACAGTGGGAAAGTAGTCCCACCCTCCAAAGAAAAGTGCTACACAGTTTCATCAAGACTTTTAAAGATGGTGGGTAAACACTGGAGTTTTTATTTGTTTAACTTTTAGTCTAACACCTACCATGAGGGTACAAAAAGTTAAATTTGGGGGGAAGAAACCCCTAAGTTTAACATATTCTATTATAACACGATTTCTCCAATATATACAAATTAGAGCAAAATTTTAGGTAACCAATTGCCCCTTTTAGTTGAGGTTTTATTTATTCATTCAACAAACATTTATTCAGGGCTGTGTCTCAGGTACTACTGTATTGACTGAGGACACAGCAATGATCAGAACAGAAAATATCTTCTTCCTCCAAAGCTTACCTCTGGTGAATGAGAAGGAAAAATTAACAAGATAAATAAATAAAGTATTTCTAACGATAGATGTGATAATAGTGAGAAGAAAAATAAAGCCAAGAAGAATAACACAAAGTGTGTGTATTGGAGGTGTATACCAATTTTACATAATGTGGACAGGAAAAAAAGGTTACATTGAGCTGAAGCAATTTGATAGAAGACCAGAAAGAAATGAGAAGGCAAACAGTGTAAATTTCTTGGAAAAGATGTTGAGAATAGAGGAGACAGCAATTGTGCCATCCTGAGGGCAAACTGTCTTCCAAAGACCAGGGAAAATGCCGCCTGGACTGGAGCAGAGACAAGGGAGAGAGTAACGGGAGATGAGGTCAGACAGGTAATGTGGTGGGAAGGGAAGTTAACAGAGGTGAGAGCTTCTACTTGTAATAATTTTGATGCTCCAAGGCACACACAATGTCCCTTACTTCACCACCCACAGGAAATTCCAGGGGGGGCAGATCATGGTTTTTGAGGCTGCAGTTTCTACTTATTAAGATTCTCCAAGTTCCATACGGTGTCCCTTACCTCACCGCCCACAGTGAACTCCAGTTTTGCAAACATCCATGGCATTTGTTCTGTGATTTTTCCTTTCTAGATCTCTGAAGAAAAGTAACAAATGTTCAAGAATTATTTGTGATTTGGGGAAAGAACTTGTTTTATGAAGAGTCCCCTAAAGGTTCTTTTCCTTTCCTTTTATTTGAATGTCCAAAACCTTTTTGAAGTTATCCCTTTGATAATTTCAATCCATTTATCATCCTGACCTCAAACCTGCCATTATGATGACAAACAACTTGGCTGATCAAACTAGCAGAAAATGGAAGAATTCAATGAAAACTATACCCAAATATATATGTTATAAACCGTAACAAGCATGAGGTATTTATGACACCTTGATTACTGAGATTTAGCTTTTTCTGTGTAAAACAACATTCTTGTTGCAAAAATTTGGGAAGGAAAGAAGGCAGTAAGGGTCAGACAAGTTGAAAAAGCAGCTGTGTAACTGACAAGACCTGGTGTAGCCCACAATTGCAATTAGTAAGAGCATCAAGAAACCAAGGTGGCTGCACAGGGAGTCCCCAAGGGGACAAAGTTTCACAGGCATGTATTTGAAAAAGGAAGTAGGAGCATACAGTGTAAGAGAAATAAAACAGACTGACATGAATCTAGAATATCAAAGTCAAAAATCTGCTGATGCTTATGAAAAAAGCTGAAGACAAGAGGGACCTTTTTATTTGATCTGACAAAAAAATTAAGAAAATGAGGCCGGGCGCGGTGGCTCACGCCTGTAATCCCAGCACTTTGGGAGGCCGAGGCGGGCGGATCACGAGGTCAGGAGATCGAGACCATTCTGGCTAACACAGTGAAACCCCGTCTCTACTAAAAAACACAAAAAATTAGCCGGGCGTGGTGGCGGGCGCCTGTAGTCCCAGCTACGCGGGAGGCTGAGACAGGAGAATGGCGTGAACCCGGGAGGCGGAGCTTGCAGTGAGCCGAGATCGCGCCACTGCACTCCAGCCTGGGCAACAGAGCGAGACTCTGTCTCAAAAAAAAAAAAAAAAAAAAAAAAAAAAATTAAGAAAATGTACCTCTTACAGTATTAGAACTCAAAGTAAGTGATGTTATACTAAGGATGCACCTGCTTGCTTTGAATACATGCAAACCTCCAAGCACAGAAAAAAAGTGGATACAATACAGCAGCAAATGTGAGTAAAGAATCTGTCAATAATTATTTGAAAAATTACAGTGAATTAGAGATATAAGATATCTGGGCAAAAAAAACACTGCCTCAGTAAGAGTGGTGCCTGGTGCACTGATAACATGGATTTATCTTTGTGTCACATCATTCATTTTCTACCGTCCTTATATACTGTCTCTCACACTGTCATCTGTCACACATTAAGTCTGCTCTGGGATGGATCCACTTGTCATTCTCCAAAACCTCCTGGTTACATTACAGAAAATGCTAAATCTCTGTGTTCCTAACTACATAATGCAGATATTTTAAAATATAGCGTGTTCTTCTTCTACTTACAAGAATTTGCTTTCCTCCAGTGTTCTTAGATAAACAAGAACTTCCCATCCCAGGGGTGATTTCTCTTCTATGTCTGCAGCCAAGCAGCCTTCTCTTCCAGGTGTCTCCTGCTCTCTCTATCCCTCACCCTCTTCCTCGTTTGTTTTCTCTTTCTGTTGAGAAATAGGGTGCTTCATATTCCTCTCCTTTTTTGTTGGGGAGAATTAATTCCAGCTTTGAGTCCAAGCTCAAAACAAATTATCCAATGGGCAGCACAGAGAGCATCTTATTTCCTGAGTACCACTAAGTATCCTACCCAACAAAGACATCCCTAGGGAGTGAAGGACACTTGGCAAATAATTTTGCAGGGCCTTGTCTTATACTAGCAGTTTGATCTTTAAAACGTAATAGGAATTCATGGGCTCGTATAAGGTATAGTGATTTTTCAATGAAAGGACAGAATAATGAGTAGAAAAGAGATATATATTGGTTTCTTTTCCAATCAGTGCATATGAAGATTCTTCTTAGTGTTAAAGCACCATCTCTTCCTGTCCAGGAAGAGGAATCATCAATTCACATTCTTTATTGTCATATGCCTAATTCCTGGCTCTTTCATACTGCCTTCTGGGAGAAAAAGGTAGCAATGCTGTTATTACTCACAATGCCATGGCTCTTCAAACCTATTCAGATTCTTAAAAATGTAGGCCTGCTTGCCTCTTCAGTTCCCTAACTCCATTTATTTAATGCTGATTACATTATTACTCCTAACACCACATCATTCATTGTGCTGCCTATAAATACTGGCTTCTAATGACTCTCACAAAAGTTGTTATTGTGCTTTACTGACAATGCCTACACATGCAAGTCTCACTCAGAGGATGCACAAAAATGTAAATGATAATTTGTTCTTTGATTGTGTTAAATTTACTCTTCAAAATTGTATGGTGTAAAACAGAACAAACATCCTCCAATCCCTTGTCTTCTTTGAACTCTTAAGAACATAATCCTGGCATTATTAAAGTGTGATCTTTTTCAGTGTTGAACACACTGTTGCCTTCCACACACAGCCACCCAGGTGGGGGTAAAAGGAGTGTTTCCATGGGGGCAAGAAATGTCTCTCGCTTATCCAACATACCTTAAGACCAAGTTGGGAGAGTATGATGTCACCACATCGATCAGAGGCAAGAGAGGATATCAGCTGGGAGGACCCATTGGCACTGCAGAGCCACAGTCTAAAAATGCTTATGAGGAAATAGGTGCAGCCACTACCAGGCATGGCCCAACATGTAGTATGGAGAGGATGGGGCAACTTTCCTTATTGTCAGCAGCTGGGGGGTTATGGGTAAAGGACGCTTGTCTCCAATCTTGCTGCCTTCTGTACTGCCGAATGGAGATGAACCTGCAGTCACAACATGGGTAAGCAAGAGCCAGTATATAGGTCCGTATACATGGCTCAGGTCTAAGGGATGGTAGTGTGCCAGGGGTACTGCAGGGCCCTGAGCTCATCCTGTGTACATATGTGAGAGTTACCTGGAATGATCACATCAATCACATGGGCACCATGCTCGTAGCCTAATCTTGTGTGAGCTCACAAAGGAAATACTACATGGGCTTGCAGGAGTGATCAACTTACCAAGATACCCTTTGAAACCAGAGTCCTGGCATTTGAGTCCAGCCATGGAACCCTGGGATGATACCATAGGTGCAAATTCCACAGGTCCTCAGGATATCTGGTTAATCTGTCATGTGTGGTGGAGAGCTCCAAATACTTCCAAAAGGAAAAAAGGAGACGGAGGCCCATGCATGTTCCAACCCAGGTTCAGGACACCCTGACTGGATGGCACTACCAACCCTGGACCATTCCAGACATCATAGGGGAATTTAGAAAATTTCAAGGAAGACACAGTCAAGGCACAAGACACCCCAATTGATAAGGCCTGGGGCAGAGGCCCCATTTGCCCAGGTCTAAGGGAAGTACTGCTCCCTAGACACAGCAGCTCATATTTTTAAGTATGCCATGCTCAGGATCATACAGCAGATACATACTTATAAAATATATCTCCTAGTTTACATAGTGGAACTAAGTGTCAGTATTTCTTGACACTCCACAAAATGGCAAAGTGTTCCACAATCTGAATAAATACAAAAAAATTATTTGGTCTAATTATTTACTTTATTATTGATGATACTAAAGCCTAGATAGGTATTAGTCACTTACCATGTTGCCTCCCCATCTCCCACTGCTTACACTTTGCCAATACTCAGGTTCCCAAAGTATAAATTGGCCTCCCCCTTTGCATCAAGTGCAATGGCCTTGATTTTCTCAGCACAGTATAAGATATTGCTCACCACTGGTGCTCAATCAATACTTTGTGAACAAATGACTCAAATTCCCATAACATGGATGGCTCGAGAGTTCATTTAGCTTAGTTGAACACTCCAAAGGGTGATGATACAGCAGAAGTTTATTACATTACAAACATGACAAACCAGGTTTCAAAACCAGAGAAACCTGAAATAAGATCCTCAGCGCTGACCCCAGTGATGGGATAAACAAATTGGCAGCTGTAATCACTCCAGTGTAATCCTATTAATCAACAGCCCCAGAATAAAATAGGAGACAACCAGGACTACTGCGGCAGTGCTAAATTAACTTCCTCCACCACTGTCACACAGGAGGAAACGATTCATCATATTGAAGCCTGAAGCACATTTTTCACATGAAAAATGAACTTAAGTATAATTTAATGAAACCTCAGAAAACAGGTATATTTCCATAATGTTTAGGGCTTTATTCTTTTAAAAAAATCAAGAGCTTCCTGGATAAATGATGATCAAAGAGTAGGGTACTGCCCTTGTTGACCTTCCCTGGCATAGATTTCTTATATGCCCTTTACTGAGTAAATAAATAAGTTTGCACATGCGCACATGCTGTGTTTTTCTTTTCCTTCTTGGTGACTTTCCATCTCCTAATGGCATGATGCTGATGATCTCCAGCATCTCAATTGTCCTCAAAACCTATGCGAGACACCAAGACATAGTAAGTCTGCCTCAGTCTTTCTCGATCAGCATAGCCACGCAGATAGTCAGAACCTTTGGGCTATAGTCACTTTGCTTAGTGATGAAGGCTTTTTGGAGCTCTAAAGCTTTCAAGAATATCATATGCGATTTTCAAATATCAGAGCAGGTGGAGAGGACTCTGGCCCAAAATGAGGGCTTCTTAGAACACGTGGATCTTAAACAGAGTCTTGAAGAAAAGGGAGGGTGTGATCAGACAGGAGGAAGACGGGATGCTTCCAATGGGAGGAATTAGAATGTTCAGGGTATAGAGGAGAGAACTTCACAGAAAATAGAAGGGGCCTGCGATATGAGCAGCCCACCTCTATTAGATGATGTGCCAAATAACGGTGGTTAAAAATAACACTGGCTAGATATGCTGAGGACAGATTAGAAAACTGGTGTGCATAAATTCATGTTCTTTAATTTGAAAAAGAATTAAAGCACAAAAAAGCTTCGTATCTAAAAGAAGCCAATGGAAAACACTTATAAATGAGACCATTCCCAATACTTCCCTAATTTATCAGACTTTTGTGTATCTAAGTACGATTTGGTTGTTTGAACATGCTCTCCCTCTATGGGACTCTTTAATAATGGAGCATGAGGTAGTGAGAACAGTCAGTGGCCTGCACATCAGAGCTGTGAGCTCCAGAACTCGCTCCTGGGCTGACCCACTGGATTGCTTTGACTAAATCTGGAAACACCTCTAACCAAACTTAGAAAGGAATAAACTGATTCTCCTGGCAATACTGCTTTAGTAATATTTACTAGGCACTTAATATACTGCATGTTTAGGCATCAACACCTTTGGGGGTTTTGCTTGTTCCTTGTTATATCCACCCCCATGAGATTGGCATTATCCTCCTCCTCTTCTATATGAAGAAACTGTGGCACTGGGATCAAGGCCCAGGTCTGTCAGTCTCCATGGTCTATATCCTCATCCCCTCCCCTATCCTGCCTCCATCTTGTCTCCGAAGGTGCCACCTGTTTCAGTTGTTCCTGAGTGAGGAAAAGTGAGAAGGACATCATCAGCTGTGCCCTGCAGAATGTGGTTTTGGTTTTGCTTAACAAATCATAGGCATCCAGTAGGTATATGTCTGATGATTAACTTTATGTGTCAACCTGACTGGGCCACAGGATGCCAAGAATAAACATTTCTAGATGCATCTGTGAGGGTGTTTCTGACTGAGATTCACATGCAAATCAGCATACTTGATAAGACAGCCTGCCTTCCCCAGTGTGGGTGGGCATCATTCAGTCACAGAGGGCCTGAACCAAAGCCAGAGGAAGAAGGCATCTGTCTTCCTCCTCTTATTTTTTCTGCCTCACTGGTGAGCTGGGACAACTCAGCTCATCTTCTCCTAACCTTGGGCTAGGATTTACACCTCTGGTTCTCAGGCCTTCAGACTTGTACTGAATTACACAAACTGGCTTTCCCGGGTCTCCAACTTGCAGACTGTAGATTGCAGGACGTCTTGGCCTCCATAATTGGAATGAGCCAATTCCTCAGAACAAATCTTTCTTTTTCTCATGAATGAGTGAGAGAGTGTGTGTATGTGTGTGCCTGTGTGTGTGCACTGATGTGTTGATATTACTGAGGTTTTTTAGGGAACGGGGTGAAAATGAATTTCAAATGACTCAACAATAGAGCACCGCAGCTCCTGGAAATCGTGAGAGTTCAAGACTTGCCTTTTCACTAAGCTAGGGAAATGCTGTAAAGGTAACCCTTCTTTGTACAGCTTTACACTTCTGTAGCTGTACAGTTGTGCTAGCTATTACTGCAGGGCAGCTCTATATGACACAAACTCTTGGTGATGGCAAGGCCAGCCTTTCCACCTCTTTGTAGCTATATCTGTTTGATGTACTCCAGCCTCTGCCCCTTATGAACTTTGTGATATGTGGCAAACCAGTTCACCTCCCTGAGCTTTCCTCTGCACTGAAATGAGAATGATAAGGGCACTTACCTATAGGGATTAAATGAAGGAGAGGGTACAGCTCAGAGGTAGAGCACTGGACTGAAGATCAAGGGATTAAATGAGATAGTGCATGTCAAACATGTGGCACAGTGCCCTGCATGACATGAGGGCTCAAGGACTACTTACATTGTTAATATTTCCAGTTCTGTATTGGGTCATGCAGTTCTTCCCACTGAAAGCTTTCCCACCTCTCCTCAAAGACCTCCCTCTCAATGCTTCTACTCCTTTCTAAATAGGTCAAATCTTATTTCCCCCAGGCCTCTTGAGCTATCTCTCTTCTGGATGCCTGGGTCCATATCTGCATGCAGACAATCCACGGCTCAAGCAATTCACTGCTCTCCAGTTATTTCAAAGGCAGACTGTTGTCACCCAAGTACATTTTGCCGTTGCTGAAGAAACAGAGGCCCAAGGCACTGGTGCTGACTACTCCCAGGTGGCCCCTCAGACAGGACCCCTGTCAGGGAATAAGCTGTGGTATCCACTATGTTTACTAGGAAAAGGAAGGGTGAGGCACTCAGAGGGTTACCACAGTGGTCAGAGTGGGTTAGGCAGGAGAATGAACACTGAACATGATCCAGGCTGCCCTCTGTAAGACGAGGTGAAAAAAGCTACTGCGGTTCTCAGAGTGGCCACACCCAATGCAGGTATAAAAGTGGCCAGGTTAGAAAACTCCCAGCTGGATCCTAGGTCTGTGTCTATCTGGCTATTCATAAGCAAGCTTGGGCGATATGCTTAGTCATGTCTTGATCTCTCATGTAAAAAGTAAGCCAGAAATTAAATTTCCCTCTTGGCTCTCTGCTTATGTTTTCTACTCACATTGTTTCTGTGGTTAAATGTCTACCATTGTGAAGGTCACAGAGCCCTCCGAGCCTTCTTACAAGCAGAGAAGGCCACAAATGACCATTATCAAACAAGACCTGTCTGACTGTCTCCTTGCATGACTTTTTATACTCATGGAAGCAGATGGCAATATTATGATGAACAGAAATGGGTAACTGTCCAGGGAAGCAAAAGATAAGGACATATCCTCATCCCTAATATCCAATCATTCTTTAAAGAGTGTATATAAATTATTTGACAGTTGTTCAAAACCAAAGTCTCCCACAACTTGCTAGAGAATCAAAAATGGATGATGGCCAAGTAGAAATTTACCAAATCAAAATAACTGCAGGAAATGACACCTGAAGGTTTAAATTACTAAATATTGTTTTACCCTTCAAAGTGTGCCAGAAAAACACATTTGTAATCATTAGCAATATATGCACGAAGTAATGGATATTACTAAACTGCCTCCTGAAGCATTTGCTTAAGTGGGTAAACAGGAACCCTCTTATGTCACAATTTCACAGTTCATTAGAAAGAATCCTTTCTACATATACTATATACATGAGGAAAATATCACCCTAATCCTGATCAAATGATCACAAAATCAATGTTAATAAGGAGCAAGAAAATAGTAGTGTACTTATCACTTACATTTAAACATCTTTTCAAACAATTTTAATTCCAATTCTACAATGACTTGTAACTTTAGTCGGATAATCAGAAAAACTTTCTTTTATTTAAAAATTCTCCCTTTGCCTCTCTGACTGCAGAGAACCTCCTTTGTTTTGTTTTCCTGACATTCATTCTCCCATCCTCTGGCAATGACCCTCTGGTTTTCCCATGGGGATACACCTCTCCCTCGCTCTCTCTCTCTTTGTGACTTGGGGAGGTCTCACTTTCTACTTGGCTCCAGTGGAAGCATTCCACTACCACTTCACCTGGAAGGAACAAGAACCCAGCAGACTCATCTCATATTTCTTCTGCTCGCTAAACTCTGCTTCCTTCCTTTCATTCTATGTAGATCTGCATTCTCCCTCCTTTATTCACAGGGCAGAAGTTTCTATTCTCAGCTCCTAAATTTTGTTGTTACTGTCCCATTCTCATCTACATGTATGCCAGCTGTCTTTGCATCCTGATTCCAAAATCCCAAGAAAGAAATTCCTGCCAACATATATGTATGTAACAAGAAACCAAGGAGTTATCGCCAAGAGTACAGGGGCTTATATTAATACAAAGCTGGGTGGCTTATTCCTCGCAAATCTAGTATCAAACACCAAAAGAAAGGGCAGGCTCTTTAGCTGGATGATACCCTAAAAGATGTCTACTACAACTTCCTTCTTCCCTTTCAATCTTACCTTTTTTTTTCCCTCAGTGGGCCAACATTTCCCAAATCACCCAGAATGATAATTTCTCAAGTGCAGAGAGCTTACCAGGATTCAAACAAAGTGTCAAATCTTTGGAAGTCTGGGTACCAACAGCTGCTAGAAAGAGAATCTGACATTTCCCTATCATCACTGGCATTCATGTCATCTTCTTTTATGAAAGATGATGAAAGTTACCCAAGCGATTAGGTAGGATTTTCATGAGACTAAATCATCAGCCTTATATAATCAAATGCCATTATACAAGGTTTCCAGTGGTTAACCCACAGCATAGAATGTTAATTTGTTGTCTTTAAAACTTGCACAATGCTAGCTATGGTCTGAGGAGCAGTAAAAGCATTTTATAGGTGACAAATGGTTAGTATTCAATACAATGCTTAAAAAGCAAGTTAATAAGGAAAAAATTATTTGCATAAATTAGAAAAGTTAGACATTTTCGGGAACATCAAATTATTGTCAACATTTTGCTGCTTGTAAGCTTATTTTTAATAAAATCAATCATATGGAATAATCACTAGGCTTAGTGAACTCAATGAAAGCCTGACATCTTACTAAATTCATTCAGAGCAAAGAGATTCCCAGAATGAAGAAAGAGAATTAGAACTTCACCATGTCACCACAGCAATTCTATTAACTCATAGGTATGCAGGCAGACATCAAATTATTTTTACATTATATATATCCCACCAACTAATATTGTGAAGGGAAAAGGAAATATTCCATGACATAGTTTAGCAAACACCTCCTGAGAAGTCATAGAATTGAGCTAATAGTCTAGGCGAAGCTGTTAATCCTGTATTGCTGTGTGAAATATTTTGATTGCCTAAAATTGTCGTGCAATGATCCATTTTGATTTCTTCTTGCTAGCTAGATTACCAGCTCCACGAGAGCCTAATGCTTGGCAGGAGTGGACACTCAGTGAATGCTGATTAGATGATTGATTAGAAAACCACCAACAATGAGGTGATGAGTGAAAACAAATAGATTAGCAAGGAATAATCCAGTTTCCAGTTCCAGAATAAACTGTACAATCACTCCATTTTATTCATAGTCCATGAGAGGAGCCATGTTTTCATTGTTTATTTCATTTTCTCAGCTGCATCCCTAGAACCTTTAACAGTACCTGGAACAAACTAAGGACTGGAAAAGCTTACGCCTATAACTCCAGCACTTTGGGAAGCTAAGGTGGGAGGATCACTTGAGCCCAGGGTTTCAAAGCCAACCTGGGCAACAAAGCGAGACCTTGTCTCCACAAAAAATAAAAATAAATTTAAAAATTTAGCTGGGCATAGTGGTGCATGACTATCATCCTAGCTAATCAGGAGGCTAAGCAAGAGGATCACTTGAGCCCAGGAGTTCATGGTTACAGTGAGCTATGATTGCAGCACTGCATTACAGCCTGGGAAAAAGAGTGAGACCTGTCTCTAAAAAAATGTTTTGATGAGTAAGTGAATTCCACCAGTGCAGTCCAGGAAGAAGAAGAAGAGTCTGCATCAATTTAACTTTTCACACACAGAAATGTCCTTCTGTATAACCACTTCTAATCTAAGTGATTAATAGAAAAACCAGAAGAATAAAAACATACATTGTAAGTTTGGAAAAGAGACTTACAAGAAAAGGGACAGTTGGCTAGAGTTGTTTACCCAGTGGGTTATCACTAACAGACTATCTATGATACTGAAGGTGATCCAAATGTCACCCCAAAATATGCTACCCCAAAATAGGTCATTTTGACATAAGGATTACTTTGAACTGAAGGAAACTGAGATTTCACAGAAGCTGCCAGGACTTCCTTTACCTGACTAAAACCAGAAACTCCTGAGCAATGAGTACTGCCATAGACTCCCTCCTGCGAGGAAGTTTTTGGCCATGAAGAAGACAGAAAGTTGGCACCAAGATGAACCTGCACAACCAAGCCTTACTAAAATAACCTGGATCTTCCATTAGATTCTCCCATATATCTGCCTTCCTCAGGTTACCACTCCCAGAAGCTAAAAAAATCTTTCCTTTGCCTTGTCACATGTCCATAATTTATCACTCTTTGTTAAAAATGGTACATAAATTCTCAGGCCTATCTACTTCTTTGAAGCTTTACTTCTTTTCTAGGAAGGCCCCTGTGTTAAGAAAAGCTAACGTCAGATAAAATTTTTTTGCCTTTTCTCCTGTTAATCTGTCTTTTCTCAGTCTATTTTACAGGGCCCCAGCCAATGAACCTAAGAGGGAGAGGAAAAAAGTTTTTCTCCTCCCCTAAGCTACCTTTGACTTTTTCTTCTCCACATTAAGTATGTGATTACATACCGCTCTTTTGCTTGGTGATTTTAACTTGGATAATGAGACCGAGATCTGACTTCATGACTCTCCTCAATTATATGAAACATTATTTCATGAAAGATCCTAGGCAGCTGACAGTCATTCTGAGTAAGAAGAAATAGCCTTAAAGAGTAGCAAGAGAGACTTTAACTCATCCTGGGAAAGAACTCCAGACTCATTCGACATTGAACATTTCCCAAATAAGAGAGATAAAATGGTTTTATTTAGAGATCTTTAAAGCAGATAAAAAATTTTTTGAAGTTTTAAAAAACCCTTTAAGGAGCCTGGCCCTCAATGGTTCCATGAGGTTCCTGTCTGAATCACTACCCATCTTTAATAAGTGCATTCCTCTCTCAGTATTTGAAGTTGAAACATGAAGCAATTCAGACTCTGGCTATTTGATTAAATTAATTTCTGCCTTTCAAGTTTTCAGATATAAAAATTACCCAAAAAGAGGAATTATATTCTCTGAACTGAGAGGATGCAAAAAGATCCCATTAGCATGTAGAAACATAACACATTTTGAAGTAATATGCCCTCACTCTCATGTGCATAACCGGTGTTATTCATCTTTTCAGAAATTATTTTAATTCAGTCTGGAAAATAAAACACAATTTAATATAGATACTTCCTGTTTCTCCACCCACATACTTATTTGCATTTTCAGCTTTTAATGAGGTTTGTAATACAAATACAATCTTGAAATTTACAGACCTTTGAGATTAACTGCTTTATTCAGTTTATATACTTACTAGAGAATCGCCCAAAAAGTATCTCAGGCCCAAAGTCACCATAAATGATTGGTGAAAAAAATAAAATTGGATCAATGTGTTTTTGGAAAAGCTCATGTGACCCAGAAGCCTTTTTATTTATTTATGTATTTTTTATTATACTTTGGTTCTATGGTACATGTGCACAACGTGCAGGTTTGTTACATAGGTATATATGCACCATGTTGGTTTGCTGCACCCAGCAACTCATCATTTACATTAGGTATTTCTCTTAATGCCATCCCTTCCCCAGCCCCCCACCTCCAAACAGGCCCCAGTCTGTGATGTTCCCCACCCTGTGTCCATGTGTTCTCATTGTTCAATTCCCACCTATGAGTGAGAACATGCAGTGTTTGGTTTTCTGCCGTTGTGATAGTTTGCTGAAAATGATGGTTTCCAGCTTCATCCATGTCCCTACAAAGGACATGAACTCATCCTTTTTTATGGCTGCATTGTATTCCATGTTGTATATGTGCCATATTTTCTTAATCTAGTCTATCATTCATGGACATTTAGGTTGGTTCCACTTCTTTGCTACTGTGAATAGTGCTGCAATAAACATACATGCACATGTGTCTTTATAGCAGCACCATTTATAATCCTTTAGGTATATACCCAGTAATGGGATGGCTGGGTCAAATGGTATTTCGAGTTCTAGATCCTTGAGGAATCACCACACTGTCTTCCACAATGGTTGAACTAATTTACACTCCCACCAACAGTGTAAAAGTGTTCCCATTTCTCCACATCCTCTCCAGCACCTGTTGTTTCCTGACTTTACAATGATCACCATTCTAACTGGCATGAGATGGTATCTCATTGTGGTTTTGATTTGCATTTGTCTGATGACCAGTGATGATAAGCATTTTTTCATGTGTCTGTTGGCTGCATAAATATCTTCTTTTGAAAAGTGTCTGTTCATATCCTTTGCCCACTTTTTGATGGGGTTGTTTTTTTCTTGTAAATTTGTTTGAGTTCTTTGTAGATTCTGGATATTAGCCCTTTGTCAGATGGATAGATTGCAAAAATTTTCTCCAATTCTGTAGGTTGCCTGTTCACTCTGATGATAGTTTATTTTGCTGTGCAGAAGCTCTTTAGTTTAATTAGATCCCATTTGTCAATTTGGGCTTTTGTTGCCCTTGCTTTTCGTGTTTTAGTCATGAAGTCTTTGCCCATGCCTGTGTCCTGAATGGGATTGCCTAGGTTTTCTTCTAGGGTTTTCATGGTTTTAGGTATTACATTGAAGTCTTTAATCTATCTTGAGTTAATTTTTATATAAGGTGTAAGGAAAGGATCCTGATTCAGCTTTCTACATATGGCTAGCCTGTTTTTTCCAGCACCATTTATTAAAGAGGGAATCCTTTCCCCATTGCTTGTTTTTGCCAGGTTTGTCAAAGATCAGATGGTTGTAGACGTGTGGTGTTATTTCTGAGGCCTCTGTTCTGTTCCATTGGTCTATATATCTGTTTTGGTAACAGTACCATGCTGTTTTTGTTACTAGAGCCTCGTAGTATAGTTTGAAGTCAGGTAGCACGAGGCTTCCAGATTTGGTCTTTTTGCTTAGGAATTGTCTTGGCAATGCAGGCTCTTTTTTGGTTCCATATGAACTTTAGAGTAATTGTTTCCAATTCTGTGAAGTAGTTTTTTCCAATTCTGAGGGTAGGAATAATGTGCATTTTTTAAATTCTAATTTTATTCCAGCACTAACACAGTTCATAGCAACAGTAGCTTCTCAACCATCATTCAGCAAATGAATGGACAGAGATCCTTTTATTGAAAGATAAGTAGCTGTCTGTAGATATGATTTCAGAAAGACATAGACATAGCATGCCATTTTCCCATGCAACTCTTCTACCTATCCCAGAATATTCAAAATCCCAAACTAAGGCACGAGGCATTTTATTCTACTATTAGAAAGAAGCTTAAAATAGAAATGTCCTGGAGAGCTAGAATATTTAGGCACTGGAGATGGTGTGTCCAAAAGAGAATGGGAAAAAAAGGAAACTGAAAGTAAGGTTACTTTTATTGCCAGCATCCAAGGCCTTAGAGGAGTACCCTGACAATCAATTCTACAATATTTTTGGATTCTAGGGTCTCTCTCCCCTTGTAGCTTCAGATTTAATTCCGTTTTCTAAAGTCAATCCTGTCTGAGAGCAAGAGAAATTTATGAATTTATGAGCCCCACGTTCTCCAGGATTCACCTGAGCTGGTCTTCACCTGGTACCTTAGTCCTGAGATCTATGTTTCTTATTTCTAAGCCTACTCCTAAAACTTCTGCCTTAGTTCTAATAATTTACACACCATGGTTATGTCTTAGACCCATTTCTTTATATTGCTATTATGCCCAGTATTGGCTTGTTACCTGTCTTAATCTGTCTTGTGCTGATACAACAAAATATCTCAGACTGGGTAATTTATAAAAGATAGATATTTTTCTCTCAAAGTTCCTGAGGCTGGAAAGTCTGAGATCAAGGCAACAGCAGGTTTAGTTGTTTAGTGAGGGCTGCATCCATTAGAGGGGAGTAACATTATGCTCTCACATGGAGGAAGGGCAAGAGACAAAAGCTTTGTGAAGCCTCTTTTATAAGAGCCTTAATCTCATTCATGAGGGGAGGAGCCCTCATGGACTAATCACCTCTTAACAATCCCACCTCTTACTACCATCACATTGGCAACATCTGAGATTTGGAGGGGCCGCTTTCAAATCATAGTACTACCCATGCTCTTGCAAGTCCCTCCCAGGAACTGGAACACTACCAGAAAATCCCCACGCCTTGACAGACATGCTACCTGTGAACACATCCCCAGATGGTGAACATCTGCCTCATCTGCCAGGAGGCATACCTGTGCCCTGTTTCTGTTGAGACATTAAGGAGCCACAGTTTGGAACCTCTTGTTGCACTGTAATTGGACTTTCTCCACATGAAGGAACACATGTAACTACAAAACCTGAGTTCTCCCAATTTGTCCCACCCTATTACATTTATTTGGTCATATTCGGTTGTGTCATTACTCTCCAAGGTGTTATGGCTAAGACAAAAAAAAGTGTGCATCTCTGGAGAAGGGTTTTAATCATCCCTGAAACTAGTTGAGGTGGACAAACTCTAAGATGGCCCCAATTATCCCTACATCCTGTTATTCATGCCCTTGTACAATCCCCTCCCCTGGAGTGTTGGCAGGACCTGCAACTTCCTTCTAACCAAGAGCATAAGGCAAAGTTGTTAAGATGTTACTTCCTTGAGTATGTTACATAAGATGGTAACTTGTACCCTGCTGCCAGACCTTAATGACTGATTCTCTTCATTGCTGGCTTTGGTGAAGAAAGCTGCCCTATAGAGAAAGCTACATGGCAAATAACTCAAAGCAGCCTTCAGACAGTTGCCAGCAAGTAGCTGAGGCCCTCTGTCCAACAATCCATGAGGACCTGAATCCTGCTAATGACTACAAGCTTGGAAACACATCCTTCCCCATTTGAGCATCTGATGAGACTCCAAGCTTGAGTGACACCTTGAGACTTCTGAGAGATCCTGAGCTAATCTCTGCCAAGATTAGCTTGGCACAACACCAAATTGGTGAGAATGTAAAGCAACAGCAACTCTCATAAACTGATACTGGAAATATAAAATAAATAAACCACTCTGGAAAACTCTTTGGCAAATTTTTATAACTTCAAATGTACATCTATCTTATGACCCAATGGTTCCACTTCTGTTTACCCAAGAGAAAGTAATACATATGCCCACAAAATGGCTTTTATATAATTGCTTATTGCAGCTTTAACCACAAAAGCCCCAAACTGAAAACAATCCACTGTCAATTGATAGCAGAATTGATAAACAAATGTTGTCCTATTCACTCAATGGCATATTACTCAACAATAAGAAGACAAGAAACTACTGATACATGCAACAGCATGCATGACTCTAAGAGATATTATGTTGAGACAAAGGAGTCAGAATCCCCCTCCCAATAAATACAGATGTATTATTCCTTTTTTGTTGAAGTTCAGGAAAAGGAAAAACTAATGTAATCTGTGAAAGAAGTCAAATGTGTGTTAGAGGTTTACTGGAACAGGGCATAAGGGAATTTCTTAGTAATGAAAATATTCTAAATCTTTATAGTGCTTTTTAATATGTGGGCAAAACTTACCAAATTATATAAACTTAAGAGCTGTATAATTCACTATGCATAAATTGTGCCTCAATTAAAAAAAGACTAGAGACACTGTGAACAATTTTATAAATATAAATTCAACTCTTTAGATAAAATTAACAATGTCTTCCATTTTATGACGAGGAAACAGATTTTCAACAAACTATGAATAATCTAATAAAGTGAAGATAAAGAATTTTTAAACCTACAGTAAATATTTTATACTGAAATGTAGAAATCCTTCCCTTCGAACTTTTTTCTTGTCATTACACATGAAATAAGAAGGTCTACCAAAACCAGTTCTATGCAACACTGTCCTAGAGAGGCTTTCAAAAAAAGAAAATAAAGATAGAAAATAGAGACAGAGAGCCACCATTATTTTTAGATAACATAAAATACAAATTAATCTTTAGCAAGGACATTAGATATCCTATCTACCAAAGTTAAAAAACAAAGCTTCAAAACAATACCATTTCTAATAGATTTGATCAAACACCTTATAGTAGATCCAATGAAAGTAATGCAACCAAGAACGCGGCAAAACGTCACCAAGAGAAATTAAAAATATATACAAGTGAAGGTTTATATTATGGTATATTTGAGAATTGGAAAACTCAATGTTGTAAAGTTGTCAATTGATTCCAAATTTACAGATAGATAGATAAAATTGATGTAATTCCTATAAAAATTCTAGCTGTTTTATTTATGGTGGAAATTGATGGGCTCATTGTAAAATGCAAATGATGCCTGCGTGAGGTGGTGCATGCCTATAATGCCAACACTTTGGGAGGCCCAGATGGGAAGATCACTTCAGCTCAGGATTTCAAGAACAGCATGGCAACACAGACCTTCGTCTCTACAAAATAACTTAAAAATTAAAAAAAAAAAATTAGCCAGGCATGGTTGTGCATGGCTGTAGTCCCAGCTATTCAGGAGGCTGAGGTAGAAGGATCACTTGAGCCTAGGATGTTGAGGCTGCAGCGAGCCATGATTGTGCCATTGCACTCCAGCCTGGGCAATGGAGTCAGACCCCATCTCAAAAAGAATGCACATTATAACACAAAGAGTGGACACTAGGAAATACAATCTTAAGGGAGAACAAACTTGGAGGAGTTACACTATCAGATACCAAGCTTATTGTAAAAATATAGTAAAAAAAACACTATGGTACTGGCTCAAAAATAGACAAATAGACTGTTGGAACAAAATAGAGAACTCTAAAGTAGCCTCAAACATGTATGATTACCTACTTTACAACAAAGATGCTACTACAGTGCAGTGAGAAATAATAGTTTTCTCAATGAATGGTGGTGATTAATTGGATAATCATATGAGAGGAAAAATTTTTTAAAAACCTTGACCCTTAGACTTCATGCATAAAAATAAGTTCCAGATGGATTGACTTAATGTGACTTAAAGACTTAAATGTGAAAGGTAAAATTATAAAGCTTGTAAAAGATTGAATAGGAGAATATCTTCATGACCTTGTAACTGCCAAAGATTTCTTAAACAAGACAGAAATAGCATCAAGCATAAACAAAAAGGTTGATAACTTGGACCTCATTAAAAATTAAAACTGTTCATAAAAAGTTATTAAGACAGTAAGAAGTCAAACCACTGAGTGGCAGAGGTTTTCAATACATATAGCTGATAGAAGACTCCCAGAATATATGAAGTTATTATGCAAATTAATAAGAAAAAGCAGACAATCTAATTTTTAAATGAGTAAAAGTATGCAGCAGGCATTTCACACACACACACAAAAAGACATCCAAATGACCAAAAAAAAAAAAAAAACAACTGGAAAATCCTCAGTGCCATTAGTCACCAGGAATATCCAAATTAGAGCAACAACAAAACATGATATCCATCTATTAAAATAGCTTTAAAAAAAACAAACAAGAATAACAATACCAAGTATTAGTGAGAATGCGGAGCAACTATAACTCTTATATACTGTTGTGATTTTAAAATAATACAACCACTTTGGAATTAATATAACCACTTTGGAAAACCCTTCGCAATATATACTAGATCTGTATATGCATAAATCCTATAAGCAAGCAATTCCACTCCTAGATATATATACCATAGCAATGAATGTAAATATACAGCAAAAATTATACAAGAGTGTTTATTACAGAATGCTTCATAATAGACAAAAACTGAAAACAGCCCAAACATTCACAAACTATAGAATGAGTAAAGTACAAAATTCAAACACAGAATTTGGCAAGAGAATTAAGTAAAAAAAAAAAATAGCTGAAAAAGATTAACAAGTAGACTGCTAATGGTAGAAACCAGATTTTGGGTACATAAATGTTCACTTCAAAATGCTTTCAATTTACCAAAATATTTAAAATTTTTCATTAGTAAAATGTTGGGAGAAAATATTACAACTAATAATATACTTGTTACTACTAACATATGATCAATTCAAAAGAAAAACATAAGGTGAATAAATACACTATGACTATAACAAATTAGAAAACTGTAATAAATGAACTTTTTATAGAAATAATATGAAATATCTCAGAATAAGTATAACAAGAAATGATAATATTGATGGAAATTACAAATTCTGCTTTTAACCAACCCAGACAAATAAACTAAATATATATTATTGCCAAACAAAAATGGCTGAAGACTGAGGACTTACCACAGTCCAGCATTAGACATTCATGAACTTTCCTCAGGACTAACTTTAATTCCTGAAAATTTCATGAACCTAATAAAAGAAGAAAGCAAATATGATAATCCATTAGCAACAAATTACCCTGGTATTTTGGCATCAAAATAATGTGAAATATATTTGATTTTTCAAAATAAAATTATAAGATAATTTGATTACATGAATGCAGTATTGTATACACATTGTTATAAATGGAAGCAAAGCACATCTTAATGTTTTTAGGACTCCCTTAAGATCGACTCATGTCAATTTATCATTTTATCAATTCAATTTTGTTTGACTTACAGATGACTTGTATTGACTACTAACAGGAAGAATACCAGAAGCAAATGAGACTTGCAAACAGGATGCTATCAAAGAAGCTGTAGCTTTTGCTCTTGGCTTTTTAAAAATGTTTTTGCATTTAGCTTCTGAATATAAAGATACCCTCAAATCAGGATCAAATATCTTCCTGAAATCACTGTTTATGGTTCAGTTATTTATATTGATGGGGATCTCAACAACCAAAACACCTCTGAAGATGATCTGTGTGCAAGGCAACAAATAGGCTCTGCGGGGTGTGCAAAGATGAACAGGAATAGTTGCAGCCATCTGAGAACTGCCAAGCTCCAGTCTAGGGTAAGGATTTATCAGAGAATACGCTGTAATAGAGTTTTTGACAGAACATTTCCTGGGGTATATAATTGTACTCGTGATGAATGAACCTGTTGCAATTTAACACGTTCATTAATGAATCAGAAGAGAAGACAGAATAGGTGACACTGGGAAAGTCACTTAACCTCTTGTGGCCTCCAGCTTTTCATTGTGCCTCTTTGCTCCTGCGACACAACTATTTCTACTCCCTGAGCACAATCCTCTCTCTTTATCTTCAAGAGCTTGCAATGAACCCTGCCTAAACATTTTTCCTCCATCTCTCTTCCCCTCCTTTCCTCCCCCGAGCCTGCCTTTTTCATTCAGACCTCAGCAGAGATATAACTTATTTTCTCAGGAAGTGTGCCTCCATCTCCCCATTCTGAGGTAGGCGGCCCTCTCATGCACTCCCACAGCATCCAGTCATGTTGCTTTTATCATTCTTGTATATTTGCTGATTTGCATGTATTTTTTCTTTTCTATAATGAGAAGTTTCCATAGGTCTAGAACTTGTCTTGTCAACTAGTTTATATCCAGGAACCAGGGTATTGCAAACAAACATGCTACACTTGGTTCTTTGAAAAGCATATATGGGACACTTCTAAAATCAACACCCTAACATCACCAAAAGAACTAACAAAGCAAAGACAAATTCAAAACCTAGCAGAAGACAAGAAATAACTAAGATCAAAGCAGAACTGATAGAGACATGAAAGACCCTTCAAAAAATGAACGAATCCAGGAGGTTTTTTGAAAAGATTAACAAAATAGATAGAACACTAGCCAGACTAATAAAGAAGAAAAGAGACAAAAATCAAATAGACACAATAAAAAATGATAAAGGGGATATCACCACTGATCCCAAAGAAATACAAACTACCATCAGAGAATACTATAAACACCTCTTAGAAAATAAACCAGAAAATCTAGAAGAAATGGATAAGTTCCTGGACACATAAACCCTCCCAAAACTAAACCAGAAAGAAGTCAAATCCCTGAATAGACCAATAACAAGTTCTGAAATTGAGGCAGTAATTAATAGCCTACTAACCAAAAAAAGCGTAGGACCAAACGGATTCACAGCCAAATTCTCCCAGAGCTAAAAAGAGGAGCTGGTACCATTCCTTCTGAAACTATTCCAAGCAATAGAAAAAGAGGGACTCCTCCCTAACTCTTTTTATGAGGCCAGCATCATCCTGACACCAAAACCCGGCAAAGACACAACAAAAAAAGAAAATCTCAGGCCAATATCCCTGATGAACATAGATGCGAAAATCCTCAATAAAATATTGGCAAACCGAATCCAGCAGCACATTAAAAAGCTCTTCCACCAGCATCAAGTCAGCTTCATCCCTGGGATGCAAGGCTGATTCAACATATGCAAATCAATAAACGTAATCCATCACATAAACAGAAACAATGACAAACACCACACAATTATCTCAATACATGCAGAAAAGGCCTTCAACAAAATTCAACACCCCTTCATGCTAAAAACACTCAATAAACTAGGCATTGATAAAATGTACCTCAAAATAATAAGAGCTATTTATGACAGACCCACAGCCAATATCACACTGAATGAGCAAAAGCTGGAAGCATTCCTTTGAAAACAGGCACAAGGCAAGGATGCCCTCTCTCACCACTCCTACTCAACATAGTATTGGAAGTTCTGGCCAGGGTAATCAGGCAAGAGAAAGAAATAAAGAGTATTCAAATAGGAAGACAAGAAGTCAAATTATCTCTGTTTGCAGATGACATGATTGTATATTTAGAAAACCCCATCATCTCAGCCCAAAAACTTCTTAAGCCGATAAGCAACTTCAGCCGTCTCAGGATACAATTTGCAAAAATCACAAGCATTCCTATATACGAATAACAGACAGAGAACCAAATCATGAGTGTACTCCCATTCACAATTGCTACAAAGAAAGTAAAATACCTAGGAATACAATTAACAAAGGATGTAGAGGATCTCTTCAAGGAGAACCACAAACCACTGTTCAAGGAAATAAGAGAGGACACAAACAAATGGAAAAATATTCCATGCTCATGGATAGAAAGAATCAATATCGTGAAAATGGCCATACTGCCCAAAGTAATCTATAGATTCAATGCTATTCCCATCAAGCTACCATTGACTTTCTTCACAGAATTAGAAAAAACTACTTTAAATTTCCTATGAAACCAAAAAAGAGCCCATATAGCCAAGACAATCATAAGCAAAAAGAACAAAGCTGGAGGCATCACGCTACCTGACTTCAAACTACACTACAAGGCTACAGTAACCAAAGCAGCTTGGTACTGGTACCAAAACAGATATATAGAGCAATGGAACAGAACAGAGGCCTCAGAAATAACAACACACATCTACAACCATCTGATCTTTGACAAACTTGACAAAAACAAGCAATGGGGAAAGGATTCCCTATTTAATAAGTGGTGTTGGGAAAACTGGATGGCCATATGCAGAAAACTGAAACTGGACCCCTCCCTTACACCTTATACAAAAATTAACTCACAGTGGATTAAAGATTTAAACATAATACCTAAAACCATAAAAATCGTAGAAGAAAACCTAGGGAATACCATTCAGGACATAGGAATGGGCAAGGCCTTCATGACTAAAACACCAAAAGCAATGGCAACAAAAGCCAAAATTGACAAAAGGGATCTAATTAAACTAAAGAGCTTCTGCACAGCAAAAGAAACTATCATTAGAGTGAACAGGCAATCTATAGAATGGGAGAAAATTTTTGCAATCTATCCATCTGACAAAGGGCTAATATCCAGAATCTACAAAGAACTTCAACAAATTCACAAGAAAAAAAAAACAAACAACTCCATCAAAATGTGGATGAAGGATATGAACAGACACTTTTCAAAAGAAGACATTTATGTGGCCAACAGACACATGAAAAAAAGCTCATCATCACTGTTCATTAGAGAAATGCAAATCAAAATCACAATGAGATATCATCTCATGCCAGTTACAATGGCAATTATTAAAAAGTCAGGAAACAACAGATGCTGGAAAGGACGTGGAGAAATAAGAATGCTTTTTCACTGTTGGTGGGAGTGTAAATTAGTTCAACCACTGTGGAAGACAGTGTGGCAATTCCTCAAGGTCTAGAACTCGAAATACCATTTGACCCAGCAATCCCATTACTGGGTATATCCACAAAGGATTATAAATCATTCTACTATAAAGACACATGCACACGTATCTTTATTGCAGCACTACTCACAATAGCAAAGACTTGGAACCAACCCAAATGCCCATCAATGATAGACTGGTTAAAGAAAATGTGGCACATATACACCACGGAAAACTACGCAGCCATAAAAAGGATGAGTTCATGTTTTCTTCAGGGACATAGATGAAGCTGGAAACCATCATTCTCAGCAAACTAACACAGAAACAGAAAACCAAACACCACATGTTCTCACTCATAAGTGGGGGTTGAACAATGAGACCATTTGGGCACAAGGAGCTGAACGTCACACATTGGGACCTGTTAGGGGGTGGGGGTAAGGGGAGGGACAGCATTAGGAGAAATACCTAATTGCAGACGACAGGTTGATGGGTGCAGCAAACCACCATGGCACATGTATACCTATGTAACAAACCTGCACGTTCTGCACATGTATCCCAGAACTTAAGTATAATAATAATAATTTTAAAAAAAGAAAAAAAAAAAAAAGAAAACCATAGATGGTGCCACTGGCATAAACCACTATGTAAATGGCGCCACCTAGAGATGTGATTACACCTACTGCACCAGGACCAATATAATCCTGTGCAGGACAGTGCCTAAAATGTAAAAGTTTGAATCATATTTATGGGATGGATGACTATTGAGCCAAATATTCTCTAAAATTTTTCCTAATTCTAAAATTCTATGACTACTCACAAAGATTTAAAAGTGGACCACAGCTGGGTATAAACAAAAACTACCAAGCAAATTATATCCAAAAAATGTAAACATGTACCAAATAATATTCAGTTTAGAATTTATGGACAGAGCTTTAATATCCAACCATAAGAAATAAAAGTTATAATAATAGTGAAAAATATAAAGTTATTAAAGCACTTAATGTAAGTATATCCATAGGTCTGTATATAAAATAAGGATATTATATAAATATTTTGAAAAGAGATCTACAATATTGATATATTAATAATTATATATAAAATGTAATGTAACTATGGACTTATATTCTTCTTAACTAAATGTTTTATAATCCACTATTTCACTATTCTTTTCCTGTTCAAACCTTCTAATTTTGGCCAAAATGGACATCTCCATATCGGGTTTTGAATACGTCTTATTTTCTGGCCTAATAAAATAGTTTAGGCTTGGCTTATACTTCTCCTCTGACCCGGAATCCATAATTTCTCCAAGAAGCCTTAGTTCCTTTCATTTAGAAATCAAAGTCTGGGCTCCAGGGATCTCCTTGTCACTGGGGACTCATTGCCTCTTGGCCCTTAAGATGGGCAGAGCACATACATACACACACTCATAAACACACACATACCCACATGGATACATATATTCATACTGATACACCCAAGAAGAGGATACTTCCTCTCTTCTTTTCATTCGTAGTTTGTTTCTGCATTCTCTGCAGTGAGAACACTGGTTTCCATGAACAATATACTTAGTTCCTTGATTAATCCTATAATACTCAAAATCCAGCAATACTACACCCATACCCAGCAATACTATTCCAACAAGAAACTTAACAAATTAATATTTCTTTGGGATTCATTTTACTTTTAAAATATATTCCACTAAGGGAAGAAAGCTAGAGCTCCATCTATAAAATCTACCTGGACTACTATTTTTTTCTTCTTTGTAGTTATTTTATAAATTTGCTGTATATTTTGGGTCATTTAATCTTGGGGGTTTTCCTTCACCCTTTTAAATTTATTTCTCCTATTGGAATACGTAAAACATTAATATGGCTCAAAATAAAATCTACATTAAAATTACACTCAGGTCTCATTCCTTTCTACTGTTTTCATCCACTGCTTGTAATTAATTTCACTCATTTCTGATCTATAAGATTGAGATTTATAGAGATGTTTAAATTAGGAATAAGATATTATAACATGATAGATTGTAATTTGTGAAGAAATACATTGAGCATCTCATATCCTATGGAGTTCATACAAAAGTACAAAAGACTTACTTGAATAATGTATTTAATATTTTATAAATAAAAACTTTTCTTTATATATATTATTTAAAAGACACCTTTTTGTGTGAGGACCTCTCTAATGTCAAAAATATAAATCAATTCAAACGTAATACCTATGGTCATTATATAGACAGTCTTTTTGACTAAAACTTTTTGAAAAGTAGGGCTACTATATCTGAAGAAAAGCAATCTGGTCCAAAAATTTTTCCAAGAACAAAATCATAAATAGCACAATTGCCAATGAACTCTAAATATGAAGTGAAAAGACTCTAAGTCAGGTATGGTGGCATGTGCCTGTAGTCCCAGCTACCTGGGAGGCTGAGGAGGGAGGATCCCGTGATCTCAAGAGTTTCAGGCTATAGTATGCTATGATTGCACCTGTGAATAAGCAATGCATTCCACCCTGGGCAACAGAGTGAGATCCTGTCTTTTCAAGAAAAATAAAAAAGACTCTAATAATAGTCTTAACTTTTCCTCAATGTAGTTGCTAGGACTTGGTCAAGCAATTTTTCTCCTCCAAGTTTTTGTTTTCTTATGTGCAAAATGAAAAAGGAGGTGGAAAGAGGAAGTGGGAGTAACGCTTTTCAGTTCTAGCAATTGGTGATTTTTTATAATGCTATAATCTTGCTATAATCTGTATTATATATATAATCACGCTGAGAAACCTTGGCCTACATATTTATGTATGTGACTGGCCCCAAATTGGACTGGTCTTAATACTGGAGGAAGAACCTGGCTGCCTATGTGGTGTGGTTCCAGTAGTTCAGGGTACGTTTTTTGTCAAAAGAAAACACTTATCACATCAAATTTGATGAATTATTTATTTTCAGAATAAAGTCAATCCTTTGGAGAAAAGCCTAATATGTGGTAAAATTGCTTCAAGTCATTTATATTTTAATATAAATAAATGTTTTGTGTTATACAAATTTTATAGCTGGGAGGGATATTTGTGGATTAAGCCTTCTCTCAAGGATGTGGAGTACTTGGTTCCCAGTCTGACAGTGAGTATAATGTCAGATTCTAGACTGGAGCCAAAGCCCTAGATTCACCCCTGTGGAAACTATGTATGTAACCAAATGCCACTGGTACCCCCATAAATTTATACAAATAAAAGAGGGAAAAAAAGATTGGAGCCAAATCTCTGTGCCACAGGTTTCATGTTAATTCTATGACATCACAGAACCTTTCTTTTTCTTTGGGCAATCCTCCATAAAAGAGAAGTGTGGTAGACCAGCGGTCCCCAACCTTTTTGGTACCAGGGACCAGTTTCGTGGGAGACAATTTTTTCACGGACATGGTTGGGGGAATTGTGCAGGGGGGAGTGGGGATGGTTTCAGGATGAATCTGTTCCACCTCAGATCATCAGGCATTAGCTGGAGCTTGCAACCCAGATCCCTCACATGCACAGTTCACAATAGGGTTCATGTTCCTGTGAGAATCTAATACTACCACTGATCTGACAGGAGGCAGAACTCAGGCAGTAATGCTCACTTGCCTGCCACTTACTTTTTGCCATGCAGCCTGGTTCCTAACAGGCCACAGACTGGTACCAGTCTGTGGCCCAGCAGTGGGGACCCCTGTGGTAGACCAAACAATGGTCCCTAAAGAATCCAAGTCCTAATTCTCAGAAGCTGTGAATGTTCCCTTACATGGTAAAAGGGACTTTGCAGATATGATTAAGTGAAGAACCTTGAGATGGAGAGATTATCCAGGTAGATCAAATGAAATCACAAGGGTCCTTAAAAGAGGGATGTAGGAAAGTCAGACAGAGAAGAAGGCCATGTGATGACAGAAGCGGAAAGAAAGATGATGAGCTACGGAAGGAGCACAGCCTCTAGAAACTAGAAAAGAGAAGGGAAGGGATTATCCCCTAGAGCCTCCAGAAGTGAACCAGCCTTTCCGACACCTTAATTTCGGCCATGCAAAATTCATTTCAGACTTTTGACTTCCAGAACTGTAGGAAAATAAACATGTTGTTTTAAACTACTATGTTTGTGGTAATTTGTCACAGCAGCAAAAGGAAACAAATAAAGGAGACTGAAGGAAGCTTAGGACACTGGAGACAAATTAGCAGAATATTCAGAGGAGGTACCAGGGAGGAGGTGGACAAGGTGCTTACCAATGGCAGCTCACTTGATAAATCTAGGGGGAGCTAGTGGCCACTCTCAGAGCTTAAGATGGAATAGAAGTTCTAATCAAAGAGTCTGTGCTCTAATACTTTAAGTGGATGGGGAACTTTATATGCTTTGTTTGCCCTCTGAAGAAAATAAGAGCAAAAGAAAACAAGAGACGTTCATGTTTAATTGTCTGCTACCTTCAATAGCGGCAGGACTGGGCAGGAAGTGGCGAGAGACAGCATTTTAATATTTTGACACTCAGCCAGGGGAACAAGCTATAGTGAATGAAACCTACTACTGTCTTCAGGCTACTTCAGATCCACCATAATCCATGAGGTAGGAATGAATGCTAAACATATACCCATGACACTAGTGACCATCAACTACAGGACACAGAGACAGTTCTCCAGCAGTGCTAATGGATTTGCACAGGTATTACAACAGTCTTTATCCTTTTAAATGCTGGAACTAACTTGCAGATCAGAGGGTTTGTAATCCGAACAAAATGAAATTGACTGGACCCTGTGGGAAATACCTCCCCAACCATGATTACTTTCCATCATGTGAAAACTAAGATTGGACCTATAATTAATTTGTAATGTCACCTACAAGAAAAAGAACTTTCATAAAAAGCATATTTCCCGAACAATGTCTATCAAATCTAACCATTCAAGTAGGTCTACTATTTGGATCTAATACTTTCAGGATACATTTATGGAAAGAGGTGTAATTGCCTAGAGTTCAGAGTTGAATAGATCTGGGTTCAAATCTCTGCTCCTTTACTTACTAGCTAGGTAACCCTGGGCCAGTTACCTGGTGTCTCTGAGTCTCAGTGTCTCATCTATATAAGGGAGGTAATAGCAGAACTTGCTCCACTGGAGTAATGGAAAGATTAAGTGGGATATGGTAGGTTTAGTTACAGTAGCTATTATTCTGGCCATCCTCTAAAAGATTACAGATGAATACTCTGTCTCCTTGAGCCATCTTTCCTTTGTTTGCATGGTTGTCAATTAGGATGGTAGATCACCAGGGTTTCTGTGGCAGAGTCTCCAGGACTTTCCAGTGAGAAATGAAGCCTGTGGGGAAGAGAAGTTATGCAGGGAAGAGAAAGTCTGCAGGAAAGAGTGGAACACAGGAGGAGTACCACGAGGGAGAGAGGGACCTTCCTGGGGCTACAGTGAGATTTCCCACATCTGTGGGAGGTGAGTAAGAACTTCAAATCCAGGCCTGGATTCTGCACCATAGCGCCTGACAGAGACAGGAGAGGAGAATGATACCACATGGAATGACTCTGTGATGTACAGGTCATGAGTATATAGCTTGGTTTCAAGTCTCTTCACTATCTAGATAGTGCAAGTCCTTATTTCAATTGTATTATGTAATAGAACTTGTAAATTGAGATTGTATTACCAAATAAGCCAGGGATCCAGTGTAGCATGGTCAAAGTTAGTGTATAGTTGTTTTAACTGTCTTTAACCTCCAAACCATGGCCTCCATATACGAATAGATTGCTGTCTTGATATTATGTGTTAAGCAGTTTAAATGCCTGATCTCACTGAAACGTTAAAATAATCCTTAGGAAAAGGTACTCATGCTGGGTAGTAGTTGAGATTCATAGCCAATATCACAGAACCTAGAGAGCTGGAGAATCACAGTTTGAATACAAATCTATTTGACTGCTGCTGAGCCTGGCTCTCTGACATTAAGTTACACTGCTCCTGGACAGTGATCTCAACCTGTGGACTCAGTCCCCAGGGGACTTCAAGGTATGGCAAAGGATCTATAGATCCATAGGTGCATTTTCTATAGGCCAGATAGATGACATAGCCTGTTTTTAAATAAATGTAATACTGATATGCTTGAAAAAAGACAGACTGGCATATATAAATGTAAACTTAAATATCCTGGACAACTGGACTATTCTCAGCACAGTGTACAAAGGATACAGCAGGTGCATATATGGAGTCCAATTTGGAAGTCAAAAAAAATTATTGGGGGACACAAGGAGATATGTCTAAGGCAAGTAGACTACAGCAGGGAGAGGAGTCCCATCCTAGGAAAGACGAGCTAAAAGGAGTTAGGTAGGCCAAGCCCTAGAGGAAGCCTGCTGTACTAAGCAGAGAAACAAGGTAGAAAATGCAAATAAGAAAATTAAGGCCAACTGAATGGTGCTTAAAAACATGCTCCCTGGAACAATCAGAATTGAATCTTGGTTCTGCCATTTGCTCTGTGACTCCAGGCAACCTTGTTAAATGGAACCTTTTATGATATAATTTGTAATTCCACTGTGATGCCAAATCTCTCCCAGGATCCAGTGAGATGAGGTTATAATCTGCCTTCGTTTTAAGTCCAAGTTACCTTCTTCTCCTGAGGCTCATAGGGATGTCTGAGCATTAAATGAGATAATATGAATTAAACATTTAGCACAATGCCTGGCAAATCTTCCTCTAAGCCTTGTTGGGAAGTTTAAAAGAGATAAGGCACAGTGCCAGAAACCTCACAAGTGCTCAGCAAAATGATAGTTATTATTATTAAGCAGGTATTTATTTAGCCAAATTCTGCTTCCTCTCTCTCCCTGAAACACAGTGATGTTCTGTGTCCAGGCCCACCTAGAGACAACAGATGTAAATGAAATTACCACAAACATAGTAGTTTAAAACAACACTGTTATAAAGATACCCCAAAAACAACAGATGTGGTTAGAGAAAAGAAGCTGCTTCATATTCTTCACTCTCTACTCTAGAAGACAGGCTGGAATCAGGCCTCATGCATATTGCATATAAAATAAGACAATATTTAAAGCAGTAGTAAAGAACAACAGCCATAAGATAAAGCAGTTGATAGAGAAAATTATCATATAAAAATATATAATAGAAAACCAATATTATATAAAAGCAGGATTGAATTATAAGAAAGCATTGAGTACTCCATTGTATGGTCATCAAAAAATAGTCAATAATGAGGACCCTAAGTTTCCAAGCAAATAGATGACATTAGGAGAGTTCTGATTCAGAGAGCAAAGCAGGGAAGTATGCAACAGATCTTAGAAGGATTTCAATCTTATAATTGTCAAAATAGGTTTTTATAAACCGGTTTTGGTACTTAAAGTGTTTCTTCGGAATTCACTTATGAAGCAGCTGTCTCCAGCAAAGCTAAATTCAGGAGGTGTTACTGTATTTAACCTTTGAAAAATCACTTTACTTGTTCCTTTTCTTTTCTTATTGTTCACAAAGCATGGAAGTAGTTTTTCCCCTAAATCCTAAGCCCAATTATCTGCCATTTGGTCTTCCAGAATGGCAGGACACTGTCTAGGGACATGAAGGCCAGCCAACACATGTTTAAACAAAGAAGAAGAATCCTTTCTTCTACCCTGACTAGACAACTACAGAGTCTTTCGAAAGATTCTGCAATGGTATAAGCTGAGATGCTCAGCTTGGATCCTTCTCAACAATTTTCAGATTTAAAATGCTCAGGTCTGGTGGGGTAAGTGTGGTTCTACAGATAATCTATTCTGTGCTGAAGACCTGAAAAAAACAGAATCTGGCCTTGAGGGAGCAGGGCAGGTAAAGAGTGTCACAAAACAGCTACACAGATATCCATCTGCTAGGGTGCAAGCAGGAAAGTTACACAGTCAGACAGCAAACTCTCTTTGGAAACAAAAACAAGGTCACCCATAAATAAGGCAAAACAAAAAAAGCAAACAAAAAACAACCCAAACAAACAAATATATTTATTCTTAAGTAGCATGTTACTTGGCAGGTGGAATGTTTAGCTGAAATGAGAACAGGTTTTAATCAAGTCTCCCACACTATATATACATAGATTGGTTCCTTAACCTTACAGAGTCTCAGTTTTTCACCTATAAACTGAGGTGAGAATATCTGTAACAGGGAAAATTCTTTAGGTTGTACTATGGTTAGGCTTTATGTCCCCACCCAAATCTCATCTTGAATTACAATCCCTATAATCCCCACTTGTCAAGGGAGAGACCAGGTGGAGGTAATTGGATCATGGGGGTGGTTTTCCACATGCTGTTCTTGTGATAATAAGTGAGTTCTCACAAGAGTCAATGGTTATATAAGAGTTTGGTATTTCCTCCTGCATTCATTCTCCTTCCTGTCACCTTATGAAGAAGGTGCCTTGTTTCCCCCTCACCTTCCGCCAGGAATGTAAGTTTCCTGAGACTTCCCCTGCCATGCTGAACTGTCAGTTAATTAAACCTCTTTCTTTTATAAATTACCCAGACTTGGGCAGTTTTTTATAGCAGTATGGAAATGGAGTAATACAGTAAATTGGTACTGGGAGTGGGGCACTGTTAAAAACATACCCAAAAATGTGAAAATGTGAAAACAACTTTGGAACTGGATAACAGGCAGAGGCTGGAACAGTTTGGAGGGCTCAGAAGAAGACAGGAAGATGTGGGAAAGTTTGGAGCTTCCTAGAGACTTGTTGAATGGTTTTGACCAAAATGCTGATAGTGAGATGGACAATGAAGTCCAGGCTGAGGTGGTCTCAGATGGAGGTGAGGAACTCATTGGGAACTGAATCAAAGGTCACTCTTGCTATGCTTTAGTAAAGAGACTGGTGGCAGTTTGCCTCTGCCCTAGAGATCTTGAGCAGAGAGAGAACTTGAACTTGAGAGAGTTCAACGTTGAACTTGAGAGAGATGATCTGAAATTGGAACTTATGTTTAAAAGGAAAGGAGAGCATAAAAGCTTGGAAAATCTGCATCCTGACAATGTGACAGAAAAGAAAAACCCATTTTCTAGGGAGAAATTCAAGCAGCTGCAGAAATTTGCATAAGTAACAAGGAGCCAAATGTTAATCACCAAGACAATGGAGAAAATGTCTCTAAGGCATGTCAGAGGTCTTCACGGCAGCCCTTCCAATCACAAGCCTGGAGGCCCAGGAAGAAAAAATAGTTTCATGGGCCAGGCCCAAGGCCTTGCTGCTTTGTGCGGTCTCGAGATTTGGTGTCCTGCAACCCAGCCATGGCTAAAGGGGGCCAACTTACTGCTCAGGCCATTGCTTCAGAGCAGGCAAGCCCTAAGCCTTGGTGGCTTACAAGTGGTGTTGGGCCTGTGGGTGCAAAGGATTCAAGAATTGAGGTTTGGGAACATCTGCTGAGATTTCAGAGGATGTAAGGAAATGCCTGATGTCCAGGCAGAAGTGTGATGCAGGGATGGAGCCCTCATGGAGAAACTCTGCTAGGGTGGTGCAGAAGGAAAATGTGGGGTCAGAGCCCCCACAGAAAGTCCCCACAGGGGCACTGCCTAGTAGATCTGTGAGAAGAAGAGGGCCACTGTCCTCCAGATCCCAGAATGACAGATCCATTGACAGCTTGCACCATGTACCTGGAAAAGCCACAGAAAATCAACAACAGCCTGGCCGTGAAAGCAGCTGGGAGTGGAACTGTACCCTTCAGAGCCACAGGGGCTGAGCTGCCCAAGGCCATGGGAGCCCACCTCTTGTATCAGCATGACCTGGATGTGAGACATGGAGTCAAAGGACATCATTTTGGAACTTTAAGATTTAATGACTACCCAGCCAGATTTTAGACTTTCATGGGACCTGTAGCCCCTTTGTTAAGGCTAATTTCTCCAATCTGAAACAGGAGCATTTACCCAATGCCTGTACCCACCCCCGCTCAATTATATCTTGTAAGTAACTAACTGGCTTTTGATTTTACAGGCTCTTAGGTAGAAGAGACTTGCCTTGTCTCAGATAGACTTGGACTTTTGGGTTAACGCTGGAATGAATTAAGACTTTAGGAAACTGTTAGGAAGGCATGATTGGTTTTAAAATGTGAAAGAAACATGAGATTTGGAAGGGGCCAGGGGCAGAATGATATGGTTAGGCTTTGTGTCCCCACCTAAATCTCATCTTGAATCATAATCCCCATAATCCCCAAAATCCCCATGTGCCAAGGGAGAGACCAGGTGGAGGTAAGTGAATCACGGAAGCAGTTTTCCACATTGCTGTTCTCATTATAGTGAGTTCTCATGAGATCTGGTGGTTTTATAAGCATTTGGTTGTTTATCCTGTGTTCATTCTCCTTCCTGCCACCTCGTGAAGAAGGTGCCTTGCTTCCCCTTTACCTTCAACTATGATTATAAGTTTCCCAGCCACAATGAACTGTGAATCAATTAATCCTCTTTCCTTTATAAATTACTCAGTCTTGAACAGTTCTTTACAGCAGTATGAAAATGGACTAATATAGGTTGCAAGTGAAAAATACCCATCTTTCATTAGCTTAAGGGAAAAGGAATTTATCTGTTCATGAAACAGCTTAAATATGGCTGGATCTAAGACTTCAGCCCACTGGGAAATATTTTTTATCTCTTCATTTCATCTGAACTCAGGATCTTAACCTCATTCTCTCCTACTCTAATCAATTTGGATATTTCAGGTAGCTCCGAATTTATATATATCTAGTAACAGAACCCCTAAGGCAAGAGGACATGTTCCCCATATTGATTTCAGTAGGAAAGTGCCAAGGAGAGCTCTCATAGAGCCAAACAGAATTACATTCAGGTTTTCAACCAGCCACTGAAGTGGAAGGGGAGGGTGGTTAATTTTGACTGACCACCAGGGGAAAATAGCCAGGGGATAGCAGGAGACTGTGATTAACAGCCTTCCTGGAACTCTAGGGCACACAGCTGGGCACAGTGGTTCACACCTGTAATCCCAGCACATTGGAAGGCCAAGGCAGGTAGATCACTTGAACACAGGAGTTTGAGATCAGTCTGAGCAACATGGCAAAAACCCATCTCTACAAAATAAAATAAAATAAAATTAGCCGGGCATGGTACATGCCTGTAGTCCCAGCCACTCAGAAGGCTGAGGTGGGCAGATCACTTGAACCCTGGAAGTCAAGGCTGCAGTGAGTTGAGGCTGTCCAGTCTGGGCAACAGAGTGAGACCCTGTCTCGATTTTAAAAAAAGGGTGGGGGGCAGAGATTCTCCAACGGAAAACTGTAAGGTGGCTACTGGTATTGGAAGAACAGGAATAGGGAAAAGTACTAAGTCTCCACAGAAGATTGCTACAATATCTTTCTCAGGATAGTATAATGAGGATTAAAATAATAAAGTGAAAAATACATTTTAAGCCATAAAGCTCTATTCAAATGTTCTTTCTTCAATTTAAATATAGCATATCTATATTCAATGATGTATACACATATACACATATATATGTGGTATATATATGTATATATATACATACATATATATATAGAGAGAGAGAGAGAGGAAGAGAGAAAGAGAGGAAGAGTGAGGGAGAGAGAAACAGATAGTAATGGTTATGAATTCAGTCTTTCCTGTAGAACACATAAACCTGTGAATATTTTGTCCAGCCTTCCAATTTAAGATGATTATTTATGTCTGTTCTCTGCAAAGAAATAAACCACTTTTCCTCCTAGGTTTTAAATGTACTTATAATTCTTTCTTCTGGACGTTTTAGCTCATTGCTATGTTATCTTGAGTGTGCCACAGAAGATACCTTAAAAGAATCAGTATATCCTAATTTCTTCCTCATCCTTAAGGCTTCTTGCCACTGTAAAGCTTTACTTGGAGATTTTCCTGACTTACTGACTTGTACAGAACTATAAGAAATACCACCTTTTAAATTTTAGGTCATTAAAAATCCATACGATTGCCTTTGCTCTAAATATATAAAAAGATATCTGGAATGACAGTATAGTATAGTTCACACACTGAAATTCATATTTTCTTATTTAATTAAGGGATATCCATTGATTCAAGCTTGCCAGCTTTTCTTGAGGCATAACTATGAGAATAAATATCCAGACCACCCACATCACATAGAATACATTGTAAAACATCTACTAAAACAATAAAAGTATTAAGAAATACTTTAAGCAAAGTAAAATACTCAGATCCTCGATTTGTACTTGAAGTATATAAAAGGGAGATCAGAAAATTCTGGAAGTTTTTCTCAGTCTTAAATTCTTCTACTTCTCTCTTATCAGGAATGGTTTAACCCACATTATGTGCCATTATAAACAAAAGCTACAGATTAAAATAAAAATTGAAATTATTGTTGCCTCAGCTTTTGGTCTAAAGCAATTTTCAGACCCCATTCTATGGAGAAGAAATACAAAAGGAAAACAGCAATTTCTCTAAACCAAGAAAACAGAGATTTAAGTTCATGGGGGCACAGGCAGCTGGAATTGGCAATTTGGAATTTACAAGAAAAGCATTCTATAAATTTGCTTAAGATTCCTCCTGAATTTTTGCCTGACTACCCAACTACACATGAGTAGGATGAGATTCCACAAGGCCTGCCAAAGAACAATTATGAATTTAAAAATACCCAGGCTTTTGTACACTGAACAACTGGCGCTCCCACTGCGTTGGGAGACATTCCAGTGCTGGTGAGCCAGATTGAAGACGTCACACTCAACATCTGGAACATTTATCTTAGGAATAGGACTAAGCCGGGACTGGAATCTCACAGGTAAACTAGCCCTGTGATAATGGCTATTCTAGATCTACCCAAACAAAGCTTAAGTCTCAAAAGTATCAAGCTCATTCATGAGCAGTTAATTGCCAGAACAAAATTCAACTATTTTTAAAGGAAGACAACAAAATCCAAACACTTGGTAGCACACCATTTATAGTATCTAGCATTCAATAAAAAGTTACAAGATATAAAAAGAAGCTGAAAACTACACTGATAACTGACAGAAATTTCAGTCAATAAAAAC
This sequence comes from Homo sapiens, assembly GCF_000001405.40. Classification (NCBI taxonomy): domain Eukaryota; kingdom Metazoa; phylum Chordata; class Mammalia; order Primates; family Hominidae; genus Homo; species Homo sapiens. Next base: position 114,089,068 of record NC_000005.10, on the reverse strand, counting down.
AGGCTCCAAAACGACAGGTGATAGAATTAACAGACAAAAACTTTAAAGCATCTATTATAAATATGTTTAAGGAATTACATTTAAAAAACTCAGTATGGTGAGAATAATTTTTTAAAACTGATATTACAATATTTAAAATAAAAAATGTGGCTGGGCGCAGTGGCTCACGCCTGTAATCTCAGCGCTTTTGGAGGACAAAGTGGGTGGATCACTTGAGGTCAGGAGTTCGAGACCAGTCTGACCAACATGGTAAAACCCTGCCTCTACTAAAAATACAAAAAATTAGCTGATAATGGTGGCAGACGCCTAGAATCTCAGCTACTTGGGAGGCTGAGGCAAGAGAATCCTCTTAACCCAGGAGGCAGAGGTTGCAGTGAGCTGAGACTATACCACTGCACTCCAGCCTGGGCGACAGAGCGAGACTCCATCTCAAAAACAAAACAAAACAAATAACAACAAAAAACAAAAATAAAAATACACTCGATGAGCTTAACAGATTAGATATTGAAGAAGAAATTATAAGAATACTGGAAGAAAAACAATAGATACTAATCAAGTGTTTTCAAAGGAACAAAAAAGCAGGAAAAAAAATGGACAGAGCTTCAGTGATTTCTAACACAGCTGTAACTGGAGTCCCAGAAGAACAGAACTGAAAAGTTAGGGCAGAAAAATGAGCTCAAAAAAAAAACAGCAGGATAAACACACACAAAAATACTATCAAAGCACATCATAATCTTAATGAGATTTTTGAGAATAAATGATGAAAAAAACTTAATATCACCCAGAGAAACAAGACATATTACTTTTAGGAGACCAAAGATAAGAATCACAGCCCTACATCATTTCAGAAGCAATGCCAGCCATAAAACAATAAATGTCTGTTTGTAAAATTCTGAAAGAGAAAAACTATAAATCTATATTTTATATCCAGTGAAAATATCCTTCAAAAATGAAGGTGAAATATGATTCTTTTCCTGAAAAAAATAAAAGCTGAGAGAACCCACTGCCAGCAGATTCGCACTAAAGATGGTTTAAAGGAAGATCTTACTAAAGAAAAATATCAGATAGAATCTGCAAACTATAAAAAATAATAACAATGTTAAGAAACATGAGATTTATAACCCACATAGAAATAAAATATACAGTTGAGAATAGCATAAGGAATTAGAGAGGAAAATGAAATATATTCTTGTATGGTTCTTACATGAAAAGTAATATAAAATTATTTAAAGGTAGACAGTGAGAAGTTAAAGATAATATTAAAATCTCTATAACAAACACTAAAAAATAAAACAAAGCAGTTGATAAGCCAAGAGAGAAGACACAATGGAATACTAAATTTACTCAATTAATCCAAATGAAGTCAAGAAAAAAAGAAAAAGAGGAAAAGAAAATAAATAAGATGGATTTTAGAAAGTAAAGTGGTAGATATAAACACAACCATATCAAAGATTACATAAATAAGAATGAACTATGACACCTACAGCCATCTGATCTTTGACAAAGGTGACAAAAATAAGAGGGGGGAAAGGACTACCTAATTCAATAAATGGTGCCGATATAGCTGGCTAGCCACATGCAGAAGAATAAAACTGGACCCCTACCTTTTACCATATACAAAAATTAACTCATGATGGATTAAAGACTTAAATGTAAGACATCAAACTATAAGAATCCTAGAAGAAAACCTAGTAAACACCATTCTGAACATGAGCCTTGGGAAAGAATTCATAATTAAGTCATCAAAAGCAACTGCAACAAAAACAAAAATTGACAAGTGGGATCTAATTAAATTAAAAAGCTTCTGCACCACAAAAGAAACTATCAACAGAGTAAACACAAAACTACAGAATGGGAGAGAAAATAGTCATGAGCTATGCATCCAACAAAGGTCTAATATCCAGAATCTACAAGGAACTTAAACAACTCAATAAGGAACAAACAAATAAATCCATTTAAAAATGGGCAAAGGGACAGGCACTTCTCAAAGAAACATACAAGTTGGCAACAAAAATGAAAAAACGCTCCTCATCCCTAAGCATCCGAGAAATGCAAAACAGAACCACGATGAGATACCATCTCACACCAATCAGAAATGGCTACTACTAAAAAGTCAAAAAACAAAAGATACTGGTGAGGCTGCACAGAAAAGGGAACACTTATACACTGTTTGTGGGAATGTAAATTAGTTCAGCCACTGTGGAAAGCAGTATGGAGATTTCTCAAAGAACTTAAAACTGAACTACCATTTGTCCCAGCAATCCCATTACTGGGTATATATCCAAAAGAAAACAAATCATTCTATCAAAAAGACACATTCACTTGTGTGTTCATCAGAATACTATTCACAATAGCAAAGACATGGAATCAACCTAGGGGCCCATCAGTGGTGGATAAGATAAAGAAAATGTGGTTCTTACACATCGTGGGATACTACCTGCCATAAAAAAGAATTAGATTACGTCCTTTGCAGTGACATAGATGCAGCTAGAGGCCATTATCCTAAGCAAATTAATGCAGGAATAGAAAACCAAATACCACATGTTCTTACTTACAAGTGGGAGCTAAACATTGGATACTCATGGACATAAAAATGGCAACAACAGACACTGAGGACTACTAGATGGGCAAGGAAACGTGTGAGACAGGGACTTAAAAATAACTATTGGGTACTATGCTCAGTCCCTGGGTGACAGGATCATTCATACCCCAAACCCCAGCATCACACAGTAAACCTAGGTAACAAACCTGCACATATACCCCCAAATCTAAAATAAAACCTGAAAAACAGAATAAATGAGTAAATAAATAAACAGATTGGACTAATCATCCCAGTTAAAAGGTAAAGATTTTTAGAATGAGCAAACACACAGCTATATACTGTCTATAAGAAATGCCTGTTAAATGTAAACATAGCAAAAGGTTAAAAAATAAACAGGAAGGAAGGGAGAGATGGCAAACAAGACAAAGAAAGAAAAGGAAGAAAGAATATGCAATGCAAATTTTAATCAAAGAAAAGCTGTAGTTGCTATACTAATATCAGACAAAATAGACTTTAGGACTAACCATATTAGCAGGGATAAAGACTGATATTTTATGCTGAAAAAAGAGTCCATTCATCAAAAATTCATAAGAATCCTCAGTGTGTATGTACCAAATGACAGTGCTTCAAAATATATAAAGCAAAATGAACAGAACTTAAAAAAGGAACGGATAACATAATAACTATTACTAGAGGTTTCAACAATTCTTTTTTAGTAACTGATGGAATCAAAGACAAAAGTTAGTAAATATAAAGGAGACTTTTAAAAAACCAAAATTACCCAATTGACTTAATTGATATTTACAAAATAATAACTCAAAATTATTTTCAAGTGCACTCGAAACATTTACCAACTTAGATTTTATGCTGATCATCAACATGTCTCAATAAATTTTAAAAAGTTAAAATTAAACAGTGTGTTTTTTATACAACAGAATTTATTTGGAAATCAATTTTTAAAATCTGAAATTATACTAAGGTTGTAGATATAAGGTTATATACAAAAGTGAATTTTTTCCTGATATACCATCAATGAGCAATTGGAAACTAAAGTTAAAAACACAATATCATTTGCAATAACACCAAAAAATGAAATACTTAACTATCAATCTAACAAAATATGTAAAGGATCTATATGGAGAAAACTACAGAAACTAGTGAGAGCAATTAAAGATATAAATTAATTGAGAGACTCATTATTATTAAGATGTCAGTTATTCCCAACTTGCCCCATAGATTCAATACAATTAAAATCAAAATCCCAGTAAGCTGCTTTGTAGAAATCAATAAACTGATGCTAAAGTTTATATGGAAAGGGAAAAGACCCAGAAAAGCTAGCACAATACTAGCTAAAACGAAGAAGAAAGTGTAAGAACACACACTATCTGACTTCAAAACTTACTCTAAAGCTACAGTAATCAAGACAGCACGGTACTAGCTAAAGAATAGACACACACATATATATATATATATGTCTCTATATATAATCAATGGAACAGAAAATATATATATATATCTCAATGGAAGAGAATATAAAGTTCAGAAATAGGTTCACACAAGTAGAGTCAATTGATTGCTGACAAAGGAGTAAAGGCAATTCAAAGGAGAAGACAATCTTTTAAAAAATGGTGCTAGAACAAATGGACATGCAAAAAAGCAAATCTAGACACAGGTTTTGTACCTTTCATAAAAATTAACTCAAAATTGAATCATAGACCTAGTTGTAAAACCAAAAACCGTAAAATTTCTCAAAGAAAACATAGAAGAAAATCTAGGTGGCCTTGTGTTCTGTGATGACTTTTTAGATAAACACCAAAAGTATGATCCATGATCAAAAAATTTGATAAGTAGCACTTCATTAAAATTAAAATTATCTGCTCTGTGAATGACATTGTTAAGAGTACTAAAAGACAGGTGACATTGGGAAAAATATTTACAAATATATCTGACAAAGTACCTGTATCGAAAATATACAAAGAACTCTTAAAACTCAATGGTAAGAAAACAAGCAACCCAATTTAAAAATAAGAAAAAGATCTGAACAGATACCTCACCAAAGAAGTTATACAGATGGCAAATAAGCACTTGAAAGAAAGCTCAACATGGCATTAAGAAATTGCATATTAAAGCAACAGTGAAATACCATAACGTATGTATCAAAATCACTAAAATTGAAAATGGACAATATCAAACTTTGGCGGGACTGTGTAGCAATGAGAACTTCATTGTTGGTGTAAATACAAGATGTTACAGCCACCTTGGAAGACAGTTTGGCAGTTTTTTTCCAAAGCTAAACATAGTCATGCTATACCATACAGTAATCATGCTTCTACATGTCTACCCAAATGACTTGAAAGCATATGTCTGAACAAAAATCTTCACATGAATGTTAATAGCAGCTTTATTCATATTTGCCAAAAAGACGAAGCAACTAAGATATCCTTCAAAAAGTGACTAGAGAAGCAGACTGTGGTACATCCATACAATGAATTTCACACAACAATAAAAATAAGTGAGCTATGGAGCCATGAAAAGACATGGAGGAATTTTAAATGCATATTGCTAAGTGAAAGAACCCAGACTGAAAAGGCCACATACTACGATTCCAACATTCAAAAACAGCAGTACTACAGAGATGGTAAAAAGATAAGTGGTTTCCAGAGGTTTGGAGTGGGAAGAGAGGGATGACTAGGTTCAGCACAGAGGATTTTTAGGGCAGTGAAACTATCATTTGTAATAACGTAAGGGTGGATTAATGACATTATGCTTTTGTCAAAACCCATAGAACTGTACAACACAGAGTGCACCCTAATTTAAAATAGGTATTTTAGTTAACAATATGTATCAATACTGGTTCATAAATTGTAACAAACCACTTCATGCAAGATGTTAATAACAGAGAAATCCATAAATAAGAGAGAGACGAGGTACATGGGAACTCCATATTATCTGCTGAATTTCCTGTAAACCTAAAATTTTTCCAAAATAGTCTTAATTTTAAAAAACCCACTTCCAAAATCAGGTTAACAAGGAAATGATAAGGAAAATTAGAAAATATTCTGAATTATATGAAAATAAAAACATAAAATTTCAAAACTTTTGAGATTCAACTAACGCATATTTAGAGGGGAAATTTACAGCTTTGAACCCTTATTCAAGAAAGAAAAAAACATGTATCTAAAATCAATTATCTAAGCTTCTATCTTAAAAAGCTAGAAGGGCAAATGAAACATGAATTAAGTAGAAAGGAGGTATAATAAAGATACAAAAATCAACAAAATAAAAAATGGTGAAAAAGTAATGAAATCAAAATTTTCAAAGAATAAACCTCTAGATAGACTAAGAACAAAAAGGAAGATATTACAATATATTACTATATACAGATCCTACAGAATCAAATGGACAATAAAGGCTATATTACAAATATTTTTTTAGATTTATATTGTGGTAAAATACATATGACAAAATTTGCCATCTTAACCATTCCTAAGTATAAAGTTCAATGCTATAAATATGGATATAATATTGTGCAACCATCACCACTATCCATCTCTATAACTTCTCTTCATGGTGTAAAACAAACTTTATACCTGTTAAAAAATAATTCCTCATTTCTCTCTCCACCAGTTCCTGGCAACCACCATTCTACTTTCTGTGGCTATGATTTTGACGATCTTAAGTGTCTTGTATAAGTGAAATCATATAGGATTCAACTTTGTGATTGTCTTATTTCACTTAGCATAATGTCTTCAAGGTTCATCCATGCTATAGCATATATCAGAATTTCATTCCTTTTTAAGTCCATTGTGTGCACATAACACATTTTGTTTACCCATTCATCTGCTGATGGTTACTTAGGTTGCTTCCTCATTTTAGCTATTGTGAATAATGCTGTTATAAACATACTTTTCAAGACCTTGCTTTCTTTTGGACGTATATCCAGAAGTAGAATTGCTGGGTCATGTGGTAATTCTGTTTTTAATTATTTTAGGAACTTCCATACTATTTTCCACAGTAGGTATACCAATTTACATCACCACCAACACTGCAGAAGAGTTCCTATTTCTCAACATCTATGTCAACACTTGTTTTGTTTTATTGTAGCCATCCTAATGGGTTTCAGGTAATATACCCTTGTATCTTTGATTCACATTTCCCTAGTGACTAGTAATGTTCAGCATCTTTTTCTTTTTTTTTTTTTTAAAGATACGGTCTCACTCTATCACCCAGGCTGGAGTGTAGTGGCACAATCAAAGCTCACTGTGGCCTTGACCTCCTGGGCTCAAGTAATCCTCCAATTTCAGCCTCTGAGTAGCTAGGACTACAGGTACATGCCACCATGCCCGGCCTAAGTCTTGCTATGATGCTAGGATTGGTATCAAACTCTTGGGCTGAAGTGATCCTCCCGCCTTGGCCTCCCAAAGTACTGGGATTATAGGTATCCCGCCTTGAGCATCTTTTCACGTGCTTACTGGACATTTTTATATCTTCTTTGGAATATATATTGGACATTTTTATATCTTCTTTGGAATATATATTGGACATTTTTATATCTTCTTTGGAGAAATGTCTATTCAATCCTTTGCCCATTTTAAAATTAGTTTGCTTTTGTTGAATTTTAAGAGTTCCCTACATAGTCTAGATATCAATCCTTTATTAGAAATAGATTGGCAAATAATTGTTCCCACTTTATGGGTTGTCCTTTTACTCCATTGATGCTGTCTTATGAAGCACAAACTTAAAATGTTCATGAAATCTGATTTGTTTACTTTTTCTTTTGTTGCCCGTGCCTTTTGTGTCATACCTAAGCAGTCACTGCCAATTCTAGTGTTGTGAAGCTTTTGCAATGTTTTCTTCTAAGAGTTTTAGGTCTTACATTTAGGTCTTTGATTCATTTTGAGTTAATTTTTGTATATGGTGTTAGATACAGGTCCACCGTCATTCTTTTGCATATGGATATACAACTTTTCCGGCATCTTTTGCTGAAAGCACTTTCTCCATTGAATTGTCCCAGCAGTCTTGTCAAAAATCATTTGAACATATTTAGGAGGGTTTATTTCTGGGCTCTATTCTATTCCATTGGTCTGTATGTCTGTATGCCAGTACTACACTGTTTTGATTACTACAGCTTTGTAATAAGTCTTGAAATGAGAAAATATGAGTCTTCCCATTTTTTTCCTTTTCAATTTTGTTCTGGCTATTAGGGATGCCTTGAGATTCCATATAAATTTTAGGATGGGTTTTTCTGTTTCTGCAAAACACATCATTGGGATTTTAATAGGGAGTGCATTGAATCTGTAGATTTTGGGGGGTAGACCTGACATCTTAATATTATCTTCTAATCCATGAGCATAAGATGTTTCTATTTACTTATGTCTAATTTCTTCAACCATAATTTGTAACTTTCATTGTATAGGTCTTTCACCTTACTTCTTAATTCCTAAGTTTTTTTATACTTTTTGATGCTATTGTACATTTCAGGTTATTCATTATTAGTATACAGAAATTCAACTGGTTTTTGTATATAAATTTGTATCCTGCTACTTTGCTGAATTCACCTTTTAGTTCTAACAGTGTTTTGTGCGGAATCTTTAGGGTTTTCTAAGTATAAGATCATACCATCTCTGAACAGAGATAATTTTACTTCTTCTTTTCCTATTTGGATGTCTTTTATTTCTTCTTATTGCCTAATGGCTCCACCTAGAACTTTAAATACTATGTTGAATAGAAGTGGCAAAACAAGTTCCTTGCCTTGTTCCTGATCATAAGGGAAAAGCTTTTAGTCTTTCATTATTGAGTATCATGTTCACTATTGGTTTTTCTGATATGGTTTTTATTATGTTGAGATAGTTCCTACTATTCTTACTATGTTTAGTGTTTTTATCATGGAATGGTTTTGAATGTTATTAAATGCTTTTTCTAAATCAATTGAGATGATCAGATTACAAATAATTATATATCAACGAGTTTGTCAAAATAGAAAAAATGAGCAAATTCCTTGAAAAATTCAAAACTTACAGGAAAGAAACAGATAACATGAATAGCCCTATATCTACCAAATAAATTAAATGTATAAATAAAAACCTTTCCACGCAGACATCTCCAGGCCCGGAAGGCTTCACTGGTAAACTCTAACAAACATACATAGCAGATCTCAAACAAATTCTTTCAGAACATGGATGAGAGAGAAAAAATTCCCAACTCATTTTGTAAAGCTAGGATTCCCTGGATAGCAAAATCAGAACAGGAATGTGCAATAAGTTCTACTGCTAATTAAATGCATGACCTTGAGCAAGTTGCTTTCTCATTCTAGTTTTCAAATGTCTCATCCACAACCATTCGGTAGAATATTCATGCTTAGAGTCTGGCACTGTGAAGAAGAGTGTGGAGGAGACACCAGTCATTTTCTGCCCAAGACTTCAGGAAAGAAGCTCCAAGGGACTAACATCATCTCCAAGCAATAGCAAGTGTATGTGAATCCACCAGAGGTCCTTCCATATAGGTAAATTCAAAGTAATGAAACTCAGGAGAGTAAGAGGGAAGCCAGCTGAAAGTGAATAAAAAAATCATACAGGAGACAGAGTGGACTAGGACAATCTAAGTTACATATGAAGTTCCTATTATTCTTTCCCCCATCCCCACCTTCTCTGTCTCTCTGTCTCTCTCTCTCTCTCTCTCTCTCACACACACACACACACACACATATTAAGTATCTACTGTTTATTGATTTTCCTCTTAAAGCTGATGGCTGCAGCAAGAAACATTTGGGAACTGCTACAGTAGATGATCTTTAAGACTCCCTCCACTTCCTAAACACTTACTAAGTGCCTACTATGTGCCAGACACCAAGGCAAGCAGAATCAAATCTGACATTTGTCTTCATGCAGTATTGTTCTACGTTCTACTGTATTAAAAAAGAACAATAACACTTCCTGAATGACCCTATACACTAGGCATTATTATATCTATCCTAGAGTAATTGAGACTTAGAGAGTGAATAGACAGCTAAGGCTCATAGAGCTAGAAAGGAGAAGAGCTAGCATTTGAGCCTAGGTCTGCCCTACCCTTAAGCTCATGCTATTTCTACTCTGCTATGTTGCTTAATTAAGAAAGAGTTTAACTTGATCCTGATTATATTTTATATCTCACTAGTAGAATAACTGATGTCTATTTTTTTCATGACGTATAATGCTATATTATATTTGTTGCTTGCCTGCTTATGTTTTTGAATGACTAACTTTGGATTCAAAGTTTTTATTAGAATACATTCAAAATTCTGCTAGATTGTCTGAATTGCAAAAATCATTAAAAGTCTCTTTCTCTGGATTGATGAAGCAGAAACAAACTTAACTTTATTTTTAATAGAAAATTTCCTTGATTTTACCCAGGAAATTTGTGAGTCAATGCCTCTGTATAGGTTTTTACAAAGATTGTTAGGAATTAGGGTATATTTGAGGCTCAGGGTAGTGGAAAGAATCAATATACTTGGGTCATTAAAAGCAAGTCCTAACCCAAATCTCCTGCACCACAAAGGGAACTTCCAACTCAATTTCCAACTGAATATGGTTGATAGACACATACAAAAAAAATGATGACACATTCTTTCTTGCTAATAATTGTTGTAAATACCCCATCTGCACATGATATCAGCAGGTGCTCTGCAGGCAGAGGTAATTGAATATGATGTATCAAGTTTAGATTCCTGATTTGGAATACTAAACCTCTGGCAGTATGATCTAATTCTATATTTTCTTGCCTCATTTTCTGCCTCCTTCTACCTACCTACATCTTATCCATAACAGAAACAAAACCAGTCTCCAAATATTCCTCTAAGCCTTATTCTTCAGGCTGTCCCCTATGAGACATACAGCCATCTCCACCTTTTAGCAGCTGTAACAACTCAAACTACTTTCTCTTCTATGAAATCCCACCCCCATAGGAACTGATTTATCCTTCTGCTCCAGTTTCAGAGAAGGTTCCACTTCTGGTGCCCTGCTGATCATCTGTCTTCATCAGGGCTCAGAGCGTGAGGGAAGGATCCTGGATGGTACCTTCCCTTCTGATATTCCTGGTGCCATACTCGATGATGACACAAGACAGGCGCTGAATAAACACCAAATCCCTGAATTAGTGATGTAAACAGGAAATCAAGCCAAGAAACAAAGCTCCCTAGTTTATGTGTCAGCAGGACAAGAATGAGACAGCCTCTCATTCTCAATTTTCCATCAAGGTCATTGCTTTGTTGGTCATATGTGTTCTGTATTCTAATTTGCCTTAAATCACTGATGCAAGTCTCAATTTGGATTTCCTAAATTAAAACGACACCCTCGAGGTACTTTTCATTATTTTTAAATCCATTTTAATCATTTTAATACCCATCAGAAGCTTGAAATTGAAATGTTATGACTAGACCTCCCTGATTTTTCTGCACTACATTTGCACAATGGATAGTCTCCTCAGATCTGCAACATAACTGTACTGATCGTTTTCCTCAAGTAATATTTTTACAGCATTATTAAACCAATAACATAATCAAAGACTATGCCCAGAAAGAAAAGCTTGGGAATATTTCAAAAATACACCTAAGACAAATACATTTGTCTAACTAAATAAAGTCTCTCCTGGTCTGTTTTCAATTGCACAAAGAGGGCAGGTGAGAAGGAGAAGAGCAAGTCTTCACCACCCCCCTTCTCTGATCCTCTGCCACAATGAGGCTTTCCCCTAGACGGGACAGAGAAATGTTCTCCAATTTTCAAACACCTGCTTTATCTGTGCCTCAGTGTAACTGCTCTAATGCTCTTGGGGCCTTCTGCAAAGCACAGTTCTGTACTCCTCCCTCAGGCAGTTCCAGTTCCCTACTTGTCCACAATTCCCCAAATGATGCTAGTGACAATTATAATATCATACTGAAGTGTGAAAGGAGGAAGGGAATGCTTCAAAAGGGCCATCTACCACCTGATTAGAATGTGCAGAAGAGAGAAGAGCTGCAGCCCCTCAAGACCCAGGGCAGTGTCCTTTACCTTTTGAAACTAGTATGTGAGCACCCAGTGTTGTCAGGTGTCCCATATCCTGTATACCCCACTGCCCCTACACTATGCCCCTACTAGAGGGCCTCACAATACAGGATCCAGAGACCCTAGGCATCTCTGTACCCCACTGACCCACACTTCCACATGTGGTCTTCGTAACGCTGGAGTGGTTTTGGGGTTCCCCCTAGTGTGCTCCCTATGCAGTATGTGAGCTAATGCAGACCCCCACTGATACTGGTGTAAGTTTCCACTGAAAGTCCCATTCCAACTGCTTACAACTCTGTTGCCTGGGAGAAGAGAATGCTTAGGTCTCCAAACGTTGCAGAGCCTGCCAAGTGATAACTCCATCTCCACAGCACTTCTCAAATGAAACAGCCATTGAAATAGAGGGATACAAATGTAAAAGGGAAAATGGGCACCTTTTTACCATTACATTCAAATTATTTTCTAAGGGTAATTCAACATACCTTAGGCTTTTCATTTATCACTATTAAAAAGTTCTTGGCCGGGCGCGGTGGCTCATGCCTGTAATCCCATCACTTTGGGAGGCCGAGGTGGGTGGATCACCTGAGGTTGGGAGTTCAAGACCATCCTGGCTAACACGGTGAAACCCCGTCTCTACTAAAAATACAAAAAATTAGCCGGGCATGTTGGCACGTGCCTGCACTCCCAGCTACTTAGGAGGCTGAGGCAGGAGAATCGCTTGAACCTGGGAGGCTGAGGTTGCAGTAAGCCGAGATCGCACCACTGCACTCCAGCCTGGGTGACACAGCGAGCCTCCATCTCTCAAAAAATAGAAAAATAAAAAATAAAAAAGTTCTTTGAAAACCTACCTTCTTCTTTTGGAAAATCTTATGTGACTTAGGAAAAACAAAACTGATTTAAATGAAATGGAAATAAGAGCTATATTTGGAGTGAGGAGATTCTGTTCTGATCCCAGATCTGACACTCATGTCATGGGATTTGGCCAGTGACATAAGTTTTTTGTGTAAGGATCCTTTTATAAAATGAAGAGTTGAAATACATGATGTTTAAGGCCCCTCTGGCTCTCAAATCACATCTATTCTCTTTTTGTTATTATTCCTCTTTCTACTCACTCCACACACATCTCTCTCATTCCATCCTTAGGGCATAGCAGAGATCCCAAAATGAGTTGGATTATACATCACAGTGTGGGGATCTCTGGTAGATACCAAGAAGGCTGTCATCTCTAGTACCAGCAGCAGCACACCTGCCCCTTTGGGCATCAACTACCAAAGATGCCATTAGCACAGGAATTCTGAGCCAAAGAGGAGGAGGGTAGGTGAGGCGTGGAGGCCAAGAGTATTACACCTCAGAGAGTATCCACAATATCCAACTGGGACTTCAAGAAATATTGAGGAGGAATTTAAAGAAGAGCGGAATTCCTGCACAGCAGTATCAGGGCATATTAGTTATTGCTGCCTAACAAACTATTAGTAGTGGTGCGTAACAAACTATTCTAAATCTAGTGAACACACACTTAAAACAACTATTTGGCTCACAATTTAGCCTGGGAACAACTAGGTGTTTCTTTGTTGGTCTCACAAGGGCTCAATCACACATCTGTGATGAGCTAAGTGGCTCTGCTTCTGGCTGCTGGGTGGGCCAGGTATTCTTTCATCATCCAATAGGCTGGTCCAGGCTTCTCAACATAGAAGTAGCAGCATGGGTCTGCAGCATAGCAAAAGACAAGCCCCAGCGTGCAAGCACTTTTCCAGACTGTTTGAGACATATTTGTTAATGCCCCCTTAGCTAAAAAGCAAGTCACCTGGTCAAACCAGATTCAAGGAATAAGGACATGGGCCCTACCTCTTGATAATAGGATTTATAATGGCCAGTTGTGAGTATACAAATGGAAGGGTGGGAAGGATTTGTGGCCAACTTTACAATGTACTATATAGAGAAATACATATTTTTGCTTGCCAATATGACATTTTTATTTCCAGGTTCAATTGCCAAGTAAATAAGGTGAATTTAGTCCTGCATTTTACACAGCAGCATATTTTACAGTAAAATTTCAATGAGAAATGAAATTTGTGAGTCTTCAGATCAAAGAGAAATTGGAAATTTTTTAGCAAATTATCAGCCTCATTTAACCTTTCGGATTCCTTCCAAAATTATACATAGAAATGCTAATTTAGGGAATTCCTCAGATGATTTGCTTCTGCATCTTTTGTATTATTCTTGCCCTGCCAAAACCCAACCTTCTGTGCTGTTCCTCCTGCCTTCAGCCAAGTCACTCAATGACACCTTAAAGAAATTCATGAGTAATCACAGCCAGCTAAAATGTTTATATCTCTGAAACACCATTTCTTCCAGTCTCCAATCTGTGTTTGGCAATTAAACTGAGCTTTATGCCAGATTCATTCACCAATCATTCACATAATACACATTTCTTACAAATTAACTGGCTCCTGGGCATAGTGCTAAGGGGTATGGATATCACAGGGATGGGAAGGAAGAAGGGAAGAAGGGAATGAACCTGCCTTCTTGTGTCTGGTGGCTCAGCAGGATGTACACCCATAACTTTTACAAGAAATGCAGTTCCAGAACTTCAACTCACTTTCAAAACTAAAGTGAATTGTGCACTTTTAAACAACTTCCCTTGGATCACTTTTAATTTTCATAGAGCCTGACTCCTCTGAAGAAGGTTTAAAGGGACTGACTTTCTTCTTTCTATTGTTAAATTGTCACTAAGTTATTTTTAATTCTGACAATGTCTTCAAGCTCTTTCTAAGGATATTAATCTCTCTGGGCAGTTGGAAAAAATTCTAAGTCAATTTCCTCTTACCCAGAACCAGCCTCTCACTTAGATAACACTTCAAAGGAAGCTTGCTTCACCACACAGGGTTGGAGCAGAGTGGAGGGGCTGAACACAGGTCAGTCTCATTGCCCCTAGTGCTTTTCTTTAAAAATCCACAAAAGCTGGTCCTGAATAAATCTGAAATGAGCAAGGTCCACTATTGGCAGTGATTAATCTGTTCTTTCGAGCATTCTTCTTGGTGTTTTCCTCTACTTTGCCTGCATAAGTGAGGGGGATTTTGTTGTTGTTTAATAACAACTCATGGTATTTGTCTCCTTGTGGAAGAATTCATTTTAACAAGCTACCTTAAAGATCTTCCCTCTTTCTCTCTGGCGCGCGCGCGCACACACACACACACACACACACACACACACACACACGCAAACATGGCCTTTAAAATTCATAAGAAATTAGTTCTACCGATGGTGATGGGTAACAAGAGAGATACTTTGGTAGAGCATACCTACTCTCAAGATAGATCCCATCAACATAGATGCCCAGAGCAAGAGAATTTTACCTAGTCTGAATAATCAGTTTAAAGTGCCTTTCTTAGATCCTCACAGAAAACAAAAATAGTGTTTTCATAATAAGAAGAGAGAATAAAACCAGGGCAGTAAGTCAACATGCCAGGAAAAAAATCTGAAAGTTGTAGATATTAGAGCTGTTCCATCTTGAGAAACTTGAAGGGAAAAACAATACCTAGCACCCAGACATATTAAATGAAACCCTATGTCACTGTGTACAAAACTGAGGGAACCATATTTTGTCTATTTTTTAGTTGTTTACTAAAGCAAGTTTTAAGCGTAGTTTATTCTCCATTACTTGAGGTAGATATTCAATATTGTTCTCTTCTGTCCTGAAATTGCTTTATTTGTAAGTAGCATTCAATTTACTTCAAAAATTATTGAACATCTGCTGTGGATCAGGCACTATACTAGGCAATGGGAACACAACAATGAACTGAGCTTAGGACCAGCTCTCAAAGTCTCAAGGACAAATGTAAGTAGTGAATGGTCTTAAATGTGATGTTAAGCTGACATGTGTATTTATTTTCTAGAGAAGAGACTGTGGGGATGAGGAGAGGAGGAGGTAAGCATAGGCAGAAGCCATAGATTTAGGCATCATTCAGGCCTGAAGAACTGTAAATGATATGACTCTTTTGAATTCACACTGAACCAGGTTCTAAAAAGATTATTACAACAATAAGCTATAATAGCAAAAATATGAACAAGGAGCCATCAATAAAGTCCATGCTAATTGAACATTGGGATAAAGTCTAGAATACAGATTTAGAGGAAAAGAGTGAATACATCAATAGGCCAGCCATGTAAGAAGTTACTCAAAAGTAAAGAAATTTTAAAAATGAATTATGAACAATGCAATCAAGCTATTTAAAGACATCCCACAGGATTATCTGTGGGTCGGCATCAGAGGGAATGCTATACTCCTCAGTCTAAATCTCTAGGGCACATCTGATGGGAATATTCCAGTGAGACCAATGTCACCCAGGACACAAAACAGAAGAACACAAAGATGATAACACTGACTAAGGGAGAAGAGAAGTTATTACAACAATCTTTGATTTCACATAACAAATACGGCATATCAGAGCCAATCCATATAAACTACAACAAAAGTTGTCTCCTGTTCATGAATGACCAGAGAAAAATCACTTAGAGTAATCCACAGTCACTATGTATTACCTATGCATAAAATGGCAGGTAAGAGATAAAAATAGATGTTATTAGCATATAATTAATTTAACATGTTTATAGTACTTTTAAGCAAAAGAAAAGTGTTACTTTTAAAAACTTTAAAATATTCACTTGTTAATATTCATAGCTACCTTATAAAGTAGATACTGTTACCTCCATGTTACAAATGAATAAACTGAGGCACAGAGAAATCCACAGAAATTCCCAAGTCCAAAAGGCCAGTTAGTGGTAGATCCAGGATTGGAACCCAAGCGGTTTAGTTGCAAAGTCCCTGTGCTTTATCACTGTGCATTCTACCTCACGTGCTGTCTTAGTCTGTTCTGTGTTGCTATAACAGAATACTACAGACTAGGTAATTTATAATGGACAGAAATTTATTTGGCTCACAGTTCTGGAAGCTGGGAAGTTCAAGAGCATTAAAAGTAATACTTTTACTTTGCTTAAAAGTACTACAAACATGTTAAATTAATTATATGCTAATAACGTCTATTTTTATCTCTTACCTGCCATTTTATGCATAGCTAATGCATAGTGACTATGGATTACTATGCTCTTGGACTTCCCAGGGTCTGGCAGGGGTCTTTGCACTTCATCATCAAGGTGGAAGGGCAAAAGAGGGTGAGGGTGAACAAGCAAGAAGGGATCGACATTACTTTTTTTTTTTTTTAGATGGAGTTTTACTCTTGTTGCCCAGGCTGGAGTGCAATGGCGTGATCTTGGCTCACCGCAACCTCTGCCTCCTGGGTTCCAGCAATTCTTCTGCCTCAGCCTCCCAAATAGCTGGGACTACAGGCATGCGCCACCATGCCCAGCTAATTTTATATTTTTAGTATAGACGTGGTTTCTCCATGTTGGTCAGGCTGGTCTTGAACTCCCGACCTCAGGTGATCCACCCACCTTGGCCTCCCAAAGTGCTGGGATTTCAGGCATGAGGCACCACGCCCAGCCTTGACCTTGCTTTTATAACCAACCCATGCTCACAATAACTAATCCACTCCCACAACAATAACATCAGTCCAAGCATTAAAGCAGCACCTACATGACCTAATCATCTTTTATGAGGCCCCACCTCCCAACACTGTTGCATTGGCAATTAAGTTTGCAACATGTGAACTTTGGGGGACACATTCAAACCATAGCACATGGTCCCTTATCAGTGTGAATATGAGAAGAACTTAGTGGTATCCCTTGTGTACTGCCCATAAAAGATACTGTAATGAAAAAAGAGAATTGCAATAATGTAAATATCACCCCCTATTGAGAGAGCTTTCCATATCCAGTACCATGTATACATTCATTCACTTTTTTCCTAAAATGTGATACATATATTCTGTACATATGAAGATTTTAGGTGATATATCAATGAACTTTTATTTGATTTTAATGTATGTGGCAGATGATATTGTATATCAACTCAACTGTTATTTCAGTCCCCTTGTAGTTGCCTTCCTTTACTATAGAAGTTGGAAATGCAAACAGGACTCCCTGGAATCTCCTGCATCTATGGTACAAGCATGTGACCTAAGTTTTTTCAAACAGGCATGTCTTCACAAAATTTCAAAGTGAAAATGAACAATGTAATCTGACAGCCAAGAGTGGGAGTTCAGATTTTCTCACAAGGGTTAGGAGTTGAAGGCCCTTCTGAGGCAGCTGTGATGGGGCTACCATGGTGCTGCTACTCAAGCTCTGTAGTTTAGGGAATTTTCCTGGCTGTGTGCTTCTCACCTGCCACACCTCCGGCATTATTGCACCCAAGCCTGATTCTCTGGACCTTTCAGAAATTACAGCCATTATATAACATCCTTTAATAAAAATTCTTCCTTCTTTAATTAGCCAGAGTAGATTCTACTGTTGGCAACTAATTATCTTTATTTAGATAATATATATTTCACATGCATACATATGTATATGGCTAGCATATCAAACCCTATGATTTCACAAAAATCATGCTTTGCATGAAGCTAATATTAAAAAGTAGCCAATTTAAAGAATACTATTCAGGTAATATACGAATATGTTGAAAATTGTGAAGAAGTAAGTGAATGACTGGAATCTTAAAAATGGCATTAATTCCTCAAACTCCTCAGTAAGAAAAAAGTATAATTTCCACAATTCTACATATAAATACACTGAAGTTTAGAGAGGTCTGGTAACCTGCCCACCTTTACACACTAGGAAGCATTCAGACCTGTCTCAGTCAGTGTCACATATGTGTAGTACCACACTCCCTTTTAATTATAATTCACAAATAAAATTGATAAAATATTAGGGCTTAAACCTTTGTCTCCATGTGTTTGATTAGTTCATGTCAGTCCTGAGAATACTGATAATCACTGAGGGCACTGGCAACACACGTTTCTGGACCTGCAAAACAAGAACCAGCTCCCGCTCTGTGAGGGGTTCACCAACTTCACTGGTGGGGGCCTTGCCTGACAGCTAACTAGTCTCTGGAAGAGACAGCCCGGGAAGCTTTTTCAGAGGAGATGTGTGGACTAGCTCTTGAAGGAATAATGCGCATTAATGCAATGGAGGAAAACAAAGATAAAGAATAGCTCAGGTAAAGGCATGGCTCGTTGAAAAAATATTAAGTAATGGAGTGTAGCTGAAACATCAAAAACATGCTAGTTGGGCAGTGAAAGAATGCTGGGGAGCAGCAGGGGTCCTGCCCCCTCCTGGGGAGTTAGGACTGAAGCCAGGGACATAGGCCTCAGAGAGGAGGAACTGGCAAGACTGGCAGAGAAACCAGTTAAGAGACAATTACTTTAGTCCAGGGATGAGACAGTCGAGACAGTTGCTCTCAACTATCAGAGCAAGACAAGATAGGGGAAAAGCAATGGTCGTGCACACTGTTAAGATAAAAGATTGAATCAGATTGCTTTTCCACACATTTCAGCAGTAACATAGTGAAAATAAAAGGTATCTGGATGCGATGTAAAATGTTTGAGCTGTCTTCCCAGAAATGAATGCATATAAGAAAAGTGAGATATATTCATATATTATACCTTCAATAATTCTACAGATAGTCAGTGCAGTTGTAATAAAATGTCCTCTTACCTGTATCCTTGCATTCCCATCAACAGCTGGGACATGCATTATCACCGGCACTCCCTTTGTTCCATCTCTAACCTTTAGCTGAGATTAACTAAGGAAGAGATGACAGTTGTGTTGGGATTGGGATCATTGTGGTGGGCAGAGGAGAATTAGGTGGCCATGCTTGATGCTGAGAGTAGTCCACAGCCAAAGGCATTTTAAGACCTGTAGAGGCAGGACTGGAAAATCATAGGTAGTCAACGGGCCTTTCAGAACAAGCTTTATTAACTTTGAGACTTTCGTCCTATACCTGGAAAAAGATATTGCTGGTGATAGATGTGGCCAGTCTGGAAACCCACAGTAATTTAGAGAAAAGGAAAATAAGGTTACCTTATAATCTTATTAGCAAGAAAAAAAAATATCCTGAGCCCCAAATGGTTTAAAAGGCTTAGAAATCTATAGTTGAAGGCTTAAAGCCTTCAACAGTATTTACTAAAAAAACTGGAGATGTTGCTGGCACAAGTGCCTTTAAGAGGGAAAAATCATTAGTTCTCCATTACCATAAAAAATGAGAGGCAAAAGGATGCATGCTATTTTTTTTCTGATGGAGGGTGGTAGTGAACATAATCCCAGTAAAGCAAGACTAAGTCAGGCAGGGAAGGAGAGCAAACATAAGGAGTAAGTAAGTGAGCTGGCAAACGCTTCCCCAAAGCCAGGGCTGGCTGCTCAGTCTTCTCAGGCCATCACCAGGTACACTGTACAAACTCCTACATCTTGGCATCATCTATAGTTGGAAGAAGAAAAGCAAGCAATTGGCAGGGTGCGGTGGCTCACGCCTGTAATCCCAGCACATTGGGAGGCCGAGGCTGGCAGATCACTTGGGGTCAGGAGTTCGAGGCCAGCCTGTACAACGTAGTGAAACCCCGTCTCTACTAAAAATACAAAAATTAGCCAGGCGTGGTTGGCAGGCACTTGTAATCCCAGCTACTCAGAAGGCTGAAGCAGGAGAATCGGTTGAATCTGGATGGTGGAGGTTCCAGTGAGCTGAGATCCCACCACTGCACTCCAGCCTGGGCAACAGAAAAAGACTCCATCAAAAGAAAAGAAAAAGAAAAAGAAAAAGAAAGGAAAAGAGAGAAAAGAGAAAAGCAAAAGCAAAGAAAAGCAAGCAATTTGACCACTGTCTCTTCCTCTCCTATCTTTCCTTGGTCAATGTCTACTCCATGATGCATTAAGTTCACTACACTGTGAATTATTTTCCCTGGACCCTCTGGGAAGCACTGGGAGAGGCAGAGCTTCTGCAGCAGAGATAGGAGCAGGTGCAGAAGTCACCTTATCAGTGAGTGCTATGTGTGAGGACTCTGAAATGTATGCCCCAGAACATGAGAGCAGCCTGAGCTTTTTACCCATGGAAACAGTATAAACTGTCACTTGGGCAGCTGTGGCTGTGAATGTGAGGCCAAGGTGTAGACAGGGCTAAGCTGATCTGAAATAGTGAATAAACAGGGGCTGGTACAACTACAGACCATGTGTGGCCATAAAATTTGTATGTGGCCATACATTTTCAATTAACTCCAAATTTCTTCCATACCTTAGAAGCTCAAAGTTGAATTTCTGCCCAAGTCTGTTTTCTAAACAGGGCAAATGAGTTTATGAAATATTCAGAAATTTATTTAATAATTATGTTCCAAGGACTATTGACCTCTAACCTTGAGGCTAAGAATATCTGTTATAGAAAAGTATTTGTTAGAATATTTGGTGTAGAAATTAATTTTTTCACTTAAACTTGTAAACTACTCTAGTTATAGGAGGTTAAATGCACTTACCAGTCTTGTGGTAATTAATCATCAACCATGACTTCTGCGACTTTGTTATAATATTCCCTTATTGGGAACATATCTAAAAGCCTCCCTCCTGGAAAAATTAGTTGTTAGTAAAATAAACAGGTGATTCCTTCCATTTTATTTTAAAGTAAACATCTCATTCTTCCAAACTGCTAAAAAAACTTCATATAATATGTCTGATTAATGATCTGAGGGGGTAAAACTCTATATATGTATGAATGGGAAATTTTAGAATAGTCATTAATATTATGCAAGTGAAGGCTAACAATATAGAGAGTTGTTCTCAAATTAAATTGGAGCAAATGAAACAGAAATCAAATTCTATCGACAGTATACACAGACCCCTGTGGGAGGAGTGGGGTATGAATACACACACACCAAAGATAAAACAAATCATCACAAATTTATGGATGCTTTTGCCTAATCCCTCACATATTTCCATTCCTTCCAAATTTTCTATATTTATATTAATTTCTAATCACAAAGTTATAATTTTATAATTCTGACTAGAATCTTAAAAGGAATAAAAATACCAAATTTAGCTATGATAGGTATTTAAAAACAAAATATTTAATAATTTAAACAGAAATTGAATCACTTATATCCCATTAGATTAAAGATGCATAGACAAAGGGATTTGGTTTGCTTAAAGGAATTATCTCATACTACAGAGACAAAACCAGGAAAGCTTGTTGAAAATGTAGCTTCATTTCATCAGTTTCAACTGAGCCAGTCTGGGGTGAGACCAGAAATCTGCATTTTATCAGGTTGCCAGGTGATTTCAATGCAGCTGGTTGGAGCCACACTTAGATAAATTCTGGTCAAAAGGGAAGCTCAAAGCATTCACACTTCAGAGACTCTCCATATGCCATCTAGGAACAATATTGCTCTGGCCCAAAAATTCCCAATTATCTGGTCCCTGTGGCAGATCCTACTGTGGACCATGACACTGTCTTCTCTTTTTTCTGATCCATCTTCATTTAGCACATTTCTTATGACTGGTTTTCCCTGTGGTTTACCTAAGTGGGGAAAATGAATTGTTCTGTCAACACTGGCAGCTGAAGTTGTTTGAATGTCCTTACTGTGAAATAATAAATTGATATTCAGTTTATATATCAGTCTCCCTGAGCTCAGTTATGTGAGTCTACTCCCTGAAACTTGGGTCCATTTACAGATAGTCATGTGAGATCTCAAAACTTGAATCATAGCCAGGCACGGTGGCTCACGCCTGTAATCCCAGCACTTTGGGAGGCCAAAGTGGGCAGACCACGAGGTCAAGAGATTGAGACCATCCTGGCCAACATGATGAAACCCCATCTCTACTAAAACACACAAAAATTAGCTGGGCGTGGTGGCGTGCGCCTGTAGTCCCAGCTACTTGGGAGGCTGAGGCAGCAGGATCGCTTGAACCCAGGAGGCAGAGGTTGCAGTGAGCCGAGATCACGCCACTGCACTCCAGCCTGGCAACAGAGACAGAGCGAGATTTCGTCTCAAAAAAGAAAAGAAAAAAAAGAAAAACACTTGAATCTTTCAGCTGGAAGCTGGTGAGCCCCTTTCCCACAGTAGTGTGTATCCGTTGTTACTGCCATCCCGGCATTCATTCACGTTTTTCTGATACAGCATTTTTAATTTCCCCAAGGGAATTGCTCTCAGATTCCTCCCAAATCTGCAAATGACAACTTACTCTAGGCCTGTCCATTTAAACTCAACCCTAGGGTTTTGCCTAAAGTAAAACTATGCCAAGAGGTAAAGCTTGTATCTGTTGGTTTTTATCATGGAGCCACAAGAGCAAAATGTGCCTAAGAACAAAGCCATCATAAACAAAAGAAAGACAAAGAGATGGGGATAAAATTAGAGACAGAGAAAGAGAGAAAGTTCTTTATGACACCATTGCTTAAATCCTGAATACATCTGGTCCTATCCCATGGCCTTTGTGCTACACGAGCTAACCCAAGTTGATTGCTGAGAAACCAATGCAAACAACTTTTTTCCAGAAAGATTAAGCTCTGAACAGGAAATCTTCCAATATGTTAAATAGACTTTTGATTCTCTTAAATTATGACTCCTACAGTCAGGTTCAGACTGGATTGCAAAATGTAATGATAGTCATATAAAGCCACTGATATTTAGGAACCACCCAGTCTCATGAAATAACTAAACATGGCATAATGTTTATACAACCAAAATTGTTTTCCCCATTGCAAAAAAAAAAAAAAAAAAAAAAAAAAAAAAAAAAAACCTGCATAGGAGAATAGCTAAAAGCTCTTAGCAACAACTCACTGGTATCTTGCTTCTTTTTGGAAGATATAAAGCATGCACACTCCACTCTATACCAGGAAAGACTTGGCTCTGTAAAATAGTAAAATAAGAACCAAATCCTTGGAGCTGCAGATGAAAGCAGAGCTTTCATCTACTACTTATCACTTTTGCAAATGTCCACAGAAAGTGTTTAGTTTGGTGTGATTATCAGAAGGGAAAAGACCAGTCAAGACTAATATTGCATTTATGTTGATACTAAGCATATGGCTGAGATTCTCTCAGCCTTAGAATGTAGCTTATAAAAGCAGTATCAAAATAAGGCACACCTACAGTGTTTCAGCAAAAACCAATAAATAAATTTAAAGCACACAAAAAAATCATTCACCTCAGAATTCCTCAACTTCTTTTCTGTGTCTCTTGGTAAGCACCTCATGTACACATAGGTGCCCTTCCACTTTTGGACTTGGGTAAAACAACATATTGTGTGGCATGGTGCCTGGATTTCCAAGTAGCCACTGAGAAGCCAGATGTGGAGTTAGCTTCCCATGGGGTAAAACTTCATCAATAGGAAATGAAACAGGAGAGAGCTAGAAAGCTAAGTTCCTCTTTTGTCTTCTCTCCTATGAACTACTCCAAGGGATAGTTCCTCTTCGCAATCCAAATATCAAGTGCATACACTATGTCACTCTACAAGTGACACTGGTAGAGGTGACGCTACAAGTGACACCACTCACTTGTAGTGTGACATAGTGTATCCATCCCAGCTTGTTATTTAACAGTAGCCAGTGTGGGAATACATGGTATCACATCACATCAAATTTTATCTTGTCTTGTTCATCCTGATTCTCTGGGGTTGAACAGCCCCACAAAAACTAACAGCACCCTAAGCATTGTGCCTTGGGCTCTGATCTCTGGATGATACAAGGGAAAGACTGTTGAAGCTACCACATCTTTGTTCACTATCACTAATAATTTTATTAATGAAATTAATAACAATGTTTCCCTTCTAATATACAGTAACACAGGGTTAGTTTGGCTTTCCACTTTGAGCTGAAGATGATAAAACATTCCTTGTTTTTACAGGAACTTTCAAAATGCCCCCTTTATATTACCCCAGGAAGTGCAAGGAATCCACTTGTGTTTCAGTGATATATTGTTCCATAACATGCTACCCAAAGCTAAATGACCTAAGTCAATAATGGAGAAAGACCTTTCCTGCATAGTTCTGCTCTTGGTAGCATTAGCTGGGGTCACTCGCCGGGTTAGATTTAGCTACTGACTGGGCTGGGATAGAAGGTCTAAGAGAGCTTCCCTCACACATCTGATGTCTCAATGCTGTCTCACATGGTGGCTCTCCCCACAAGGCTAGCTGGAGCTTCCTCACAGCACTGTGGACTTTGAATGGTTCTCCCTCTAGCATGGAGACTGGCTTCCCAGGAGGACACAAAAACCACCATCCTCTTAAGGCCTGGGCTCAGAAGCCTCAGAATGTCACTTTCACTGAGTTTTATTGTTCAAAGCAAGTCACAAAAGCAGCAGGACCCAAAGGGATGGGAAATAAACCCTACCTCTTGATGAGATGAACAGTGTGTCTGCACAAAGTGAGAGGCACTAGTAGCTGCCATCTTTGGAGACTATGTACCATGGGGGTTCCTAAATGTGTCTACATGTTAGAATCATCTGGGGATCTTTTTAAAACTATAAGCATCCAGGCCACTCCCCAAGCCAATTAATTCACAATCTCTGGGAGTAGAACACAAGCATTTCGTTAAGCTCTCCAGGTGATTCCAATCTGCGGACAAGTCTGGGAATCCCTGATCCACCATAAGTTGTGAGAAAAGAGATTTAGAAAAACTGAAGGCTCTAGCTGGCATTGCCTCTGTTACATGTGGTTACCTGTCATTTCACAGTATGCTCAATGGCTTGTCTTAAAACACACCAGGAGTTTAAAAGTTAGACTACACACCAATCACTTTAAATTACATTAAAGCTGCCATAGTAAACTAGCTTAGTATGCCTTTTAGGGTGACCAACTTTCCAGTTTGTCTGGGACTGAGTGGTTTCCTAGGACACAAGACTTTCAGTGCTAAAATCAGGATGGTCTGGGTCAAACTGGTGCAGCTGGTCAGCCTAGCATTGCCTTATCTCCCTCTGGTGGACTAGTCATGTTCTGATGAATTTTATTTCTGAAATGCAGTTCCATTATCCTCACCTGAGTCTTCTCAAAATTAGCTATCTAGGCCAGTGCTGCCTGAAGTATGTTCCACAGACTTGCAGCATCAGCATCACCTGGGAGCCTTTGTTAGAAATGGAAATTTGGAGGGGGGGTGGTTCTCTAGACACTGAGTCAGAATCTCTGGGAGTGGGACCCAGAAATCTGTGTTTTGAAAACCATGAATTTAAGAAGCACTGATCTGGGCTGCCATGCTTTCATCTTCCTCTGTCTCTACTATCCCACATATGGCAAAATCATATTTCTGTATTGCAACAGGCATATAAAAAGCATAGCAGGATGAGTCAATCAATGCTGACTGGCCAGAGATGCCCTGTCAAAGAGCAGCCTCAGCTGCAGACACATACATGATAATCATCATCTGGGGCTTAGTTTTTGTCAGTCATTTGTCTGAGGGGCTGCATGAAACTTTTTTACATCCACAGTAGGGGCTAGAGTGTGGAATGAGGGAGGAGCTGAGCACAGCTGCCTGCAGTTGCTAAGGCCTGTCTCTTTCAGGACACACTAAAACTGTCAATACAAGTGAGCAAATTTTTCTCTGACATGGAAAGAAAAAACTCTTCCTTAAAGTTAAGCAGAAAATCAAGCTTTATCTTTGACTGGATGCTTGATTTTTAATGGGAATTTATAGCAAAAATCATTCAGGTTTCAGTAATTTGGAAATCATGCTCTTTTGAATTAGCTTGGAATGAAGTTTACCTAAGTGCAATGAAGAGTTCTGTCTAGCAAATTAGTATCCTAACATTTTAACTGCCTTAAAAGAAAAACAGGGTTTTTTTAAGGACTTACCTGTTTATATTCAATGGATGTTAATAACTACATGTGAGGTCTTATACATGAAAGAAGAGACTAATGCAAAACACTTTTTAAGTATAATAACGCATGAATTGGAAGTAAAACAAAGATATTTATTAAAACACACACACCGTAATTGAGACTTTTTGCTAATTCAGACTGTTCTCCCTGCATATAGGACAAATTTCTTACTAGGATTTCTTCACCAGTCAATTAACATGTAACTTGATCCCTAGTACACTGAAGCAAATGAAAATTAAAAGGCCCTCTTCAAAACTCACTTTTCATAAACTTTGGCTCTTATTTCTCATGTGTTTCACAAACCTCATATTTAAAGTCGAAGAAAATGATCAGTAAACCTATTTTTCTCCTACATAAGACAATATAATCAAAGTTATTGTGGTAACAGGTCTGTGGAGGTAGGGTGCTCTTTCAGTACTTCTGAACCACTACAGCCAAAATCATCCTCTTGCTGCACTGCATGTCTGGCAGGAGGTCTTTGCGCTGCCCTGCCCAGATATTCTGTGGGCAGCAGAAATACTTACTGTAATAGTATCTTACACAAAGATAAAAACACAGAAGTAGATTAGGTAAATACATGTTGTTCTGGGCAACAAACTCATTTTCCCACATTATAACTACGTGACAAGTCTGTGAAGTTTACTTTCCTTGACTAAATTTTATAAAAAAAAAAAAAGAACCCATATATCTTAAATAAATAACCATAAGCAAATTTTAATCAATGATGTATTCTGTATGAGAAGATGTCTAAATATTTGATAAATGACCAATTACAGTTGGTCATCTTTGGGGAAATGTAAATAAGTCATTCAGTTTTTAAGGAGGATAAAGTGATTCCTGTATTTTTTCTCTAGTCAAGAAAAACATCCAGTTGACTGGACAAGCTTCGTAAAACTGTGCTATCTGAAGGTTCTTCTACCAGATCCTCCACTTCCCAGTTGCACAAGCATAGACAATCAACCTAATGTCTATCACCAATCCCTCTTCCCAGGGAAACCATCATGGTCCTCACCTGGGCTTTGCCTCCAGGCCAGTGCTAAAATTGAGTCCCAGAGATCAGAATGGTTGCACAAACCCACCTGAATGCAAGAGTTGTCCATGTATCTACAGAAAACAAAGGTCCCAACAGGGAAGCTAAACTTGGCCATCAAACCCAAGCAATGAACTCACAGAATCAAACCCCATGCCCACAAAGGTGGCAAACTAGATCCCTGAATGGGAACAGTGTACAAAAGGGCTGGAAGGACAAATCATGGCAGTGTCCTGCATGAGACACTTTTGCCTTCGTTATAGAGGCATCTGCTCAATGGAGTCTTAGATTTCATTTATAAAATGGGTGTAGTATCTCTACCTATCTCATAAAGTTGTGAAAATCAAATGAAATAATTAAAAGTAAACATTATTTGTAAACTGTAAATATATGTGCAAATACAAGGGACCACCATATTACTATATTCACACCATTCTTCTCAGCAGTAGTGGGGGTGGGGAGGTAGCGTCTTGGAGTTGGGGTACTAGGAGTGATCCCATGAATGTGTATTTGCAATTGTCTGTTTATTTGTCTGTCCCCCTGGCCAATAACTAGACTGTGATTTCCTTGAAAGCAGAGACTGTGTCTTAGTCATCACTGCATCCCCATTTGCATAGTAAGACATTCAATCACTGTTTATGGAATGTTGAATGAATAAATTCTGAATCCTCACTATTATTCAGACTCCCAGCTGCCCATGAATTATGTGCAATGGAATACTATGTAGCATAATGTGAGAAATGGAACAGCAAATGCCCAAGTGCCCAGGAATAGTTCCCCATCTGCCTAAAATGGCTACTACTCCACTGCCAGAGCACTGGCCCTACTGAGTAAGGAGGCTGAATTCTCAGAATTAGAAGCATTACTTGAAGTTGGTCAACAAAGACAGCATTGACAATTAAATGGCTTGGAAAATAATAATAGCTGAATTTCCACTGTGCCCTTCTTACATGCCAGGCACTACACTAGAAACTTCACATCCTTATCTTATTTAAAACTCACAACTACACTATACAGTAGGTTTTGTTATTATCCACATTTTACAGATAAATAAATAGTCTCTAAGAGATTGTGACCTAACCAAGCCACATATGGTAGAGCCAGAATGGAACTGCAGGTCTATTATATCCCAAAGCCTACATTGTTAAGCAATGCCATACTCAGCTGTCTGAGGAAAGGGAGGTCCTTGTGACTTTATCATTAGTGAGAATGGGATGGTCTCATCTTGATCACCTCAAAGCCAAGCAAAAAAAATTCTTCATTTTCCCTCACTCCCTTCCTTCCTTCCTTGCACCCTTTCACAATTGCTGCTCACACACCGTATGTCAGGCACTGTGCCAGGCACTAAGGTACACCAGTAAATAAGGGACATAAGGGATCCATTTGAGGAAAGAACAGAGATAAGTAAAGAGATGTGAACTGCAACGAGAGGGTGGAGGCTGACAAAATAAATGTCCCCAAGGGCATGGGATGTGGTGGCATGGGAGAACCATGCCAAGCCCAAATGTAGCAGGGCAGGGCCAGCTGCCCAATCCCAGTACCAAGAGGGCATTGCAGAGGTATTGGAAACCCACATGCAGGCTAAGTGCTGCATACTCATAGCAGCATGATGGGATGTGATATCTGGTATGGGAATGCCTTAGCAACCATTTTCTAAATGAGATTTCACAAGGGACAACACACAGCCTGAGGTACTGTGGGGCTAGGGCTGTTAGGGACTGTTTCGGCCAGTGCCGAGCTAATTACCTGGTGACTGTCAAAAATGTCTGCAATACACTGGCCTTTAAACCAAATCTCATGGCTCCACTTGTACCAACAGCCTGATCCTTTCATTCACCCACTTCAGTCCTATCTTCTCTCAATGATTTCACTGTCTCCCATCACCCATGAGGTCAGCCATATTCTTAGTTGTGACCCTGTTTCTGGCTCAACACTCTTTCCTCTTCCTTGTTTGACCTTCAGGGGCTCTCCTGGCCATCCTGTGTCTTCACTGTCTAGTCCCTGCCATTTCTGGCTTCTCAGAGTAGCTCTGGGGTCTCGTAAAGGGCTCGCACTACCATTAGACTTGCCTCAGCCCAAAGAGGGATTGAAAACAACACAGCCTCAGCCTTCAGACACCAGCAGCATCAGAAACCTGGGCTAGTTACCCACCTTCCCTTTGTTTATGCATCCTTCTGTCATCTATTCAACAAATATTTACTGATAACCTATTATTCCTTATACTTTGCTAGGGGAAAAAACACATAATTTCTCTGCCCCAAAGGAATTCACAATCTGACAATGACAACTAAGTAGAGAACTTGAACTATATCACCTATATGCTCATACTTCCCACATTTATGACTCTTGCCCTAAAATCTCCCTCAAGCTTCATACTCATGTCTCACTATCTGACATTTGTACTTGGCTGTATGATAGCATTTTAAAAATAATATGATATGTCCAAAATATGATTTCTTTGAACGTGAATCTTCCCTGCTCTTTCTCTTCTTTGTACACAGCACCACTATCCTTGCAGTTAAATAAAAATCCAGGAATTTCTTTTGTTTCCTCTCTTTCCCTTAATAACCCTTATATCTAATCCATCACCCAAACCTTGTCCATTCTGCCCTCAATTGTGTCCTGAATCTATCCACTTCTCCTCAAGTCTATGCCCACCACCCAGATGCACCAACAGGCTATTGCTGGCCTGCAGAGCTCTCTGTGCAATTTGAAAAATATGCCCTTCCTCCAGGCTTTCACAGCCTGGCACTGGGACATTTCCTGGCAAGAGGAACATGGGCTGAATTTCAGCAACTTGACCCCCCGAGCTGGTCTCCTGCGCAGTAAGTAACCTGCAGAAACACAGTCACGTCCTGCCATCAGCTTCTCTCCTCTACCATTGCAGAGGCCTCCCAAATGCCCCTCCGATAGTCCAGTCTCCACGCAGCTCCACAATGGTCTTTTAAAATCTTAAACCCAATCACATCTCTTCACTGCTTAAAACTTTTCCACCCTTTACCTTGACCTGCAAAGCCCTGCAGGATCTGGTCCCAGTCCACCTCTCTAATCTGCTGACCCACTGCGTCACTCTAGGCTGCTTTTCTCTTCCTTAAAAACATCAAACTTCTTTCTCCTGGTAGAGCCCTCCCCCTGACAAAAGTGTCTGCATTCCTTTCTTTCCTGTTTCCACTTAGGACCACAGTACATAGAACTGAGTTCATCTTAATACGTGGTCCACCATACACTTTCATCATTAGCCCAAGCATGCCCTGTCATACTTTGTTATTTACTCGTTATTTTTAATAACGTAACAAGCATACCTGGCCTTACCAGCCAAAACTCAATTGTGACCTGCCAAAACACAGTCACTGACTTGCCTCTAACTAACCATATGGTGCCTCTGTTTCTCCTCCATCTGAGGTAACCATAATCACAAAATCACAAATTTCATATTCATCATTCTCTTGCTTTCCCATTTATATAACGTTATTGCAGACATACACACATACACACACACACACACCCCTACCTAGTTGGGTTTTTATTTTAGTAGTTTTTAATATTATGCTATTATTGAGCTTGTATTCATCACTAGCTCAAGGTGCCAGGCCTTGGTGGTCCCTCCAGGTTTTCATTATTGAAACCAGGCTGTTAAGCATATTCACATGCATGTCTTCTGTCGAACATGTAAAAAGTTTCTCACAGGTATAAACCTAAAAGCAAGTTGAACTGTTGGTTCACACATGTTCAAATGTTGAAATTAGGATATAACATCAAACTGTTTTCCAAAGTCATTGTACGATTCATACTCCCATCAGCAATGTTTGAACATCCTTTGGACCCACATCTTCTTCAACCACTTGATATTGCCAAACTTTTTAATTTGGGGCCAACCAAATGCATATAAAAGAATATCTCAATGTGGACTTAATTTGCATTTCCATGATTACTAAAGGTAACAACCATCACTTCATACATTCATTGGCTATTTGTCTTTCTTCTCAGTTCTTCAGGGTCTCAGTCTGAATGTCACTACCACCAAGAGAACTTCCCTGT
Source organism: Homo sapiens (assembly GCF_000001405.40). Taxonomy (NCBI): domain Eukaryota; kingdom Metazoa; phylum Chordata; class Mammalia; order Primates; family Hominidae; genus Homo; species Homo sapiens. The sequence goes on along the minus strand of NC_000005.10, from coordinate 114,057,708 downwards.
CCACTCACCATATGAAGGTAACCAGTCTAGCACATTACTCTGTTCTCTTTTCTTTATAGTATCTACCACTACCTGAAATTATATAGTTTGTTTATTGATACATAGTCTGTCTCCCTCAACTGAAATACAAGCTCCAAGGATCTTGGTTGCCTTGTCCACTGTTGCATCTCCTAGCACAGCACCTGGCACAGAGGGAATGGATGAATATGTGAGTGACAGAGATATGTAATGTATGAAGAGCTCTGTTCTAGACTCAGATGCTGAGCTTCAATCTCGGTTCCCCCACTTACTAACTGTATGATTATGAATAAATTACTTAATCATCTGTTTCTGAGTTACCCCATCTGTAAAAAAGACATAATAGTACTCCTTACTCTGTGGGGTAGTTATGAGGTTTAAATGAGTTAGTATTTGTAAAGTTCTTAGAACAATACCACAAACACAGCAGGTGTTCAATAAATGTGTTGTTAGTATTATTTATGTGTGATTTTTGTTTTAACTACCCATGGCTTGAGGGCATAAAGGCACCAAACCAACCTGAACCTAGTGAGTTTCCTCCTTCCTGCAAGCTCTGCATCCTCTGGTCTTGCAGATGCGCATTCCCACACCCTAGAGAAAGAAGAAGAGGAGGTAGGACAAAGTTCTTGGGGCAATTTATTTTCTAGAAAACAGTCTGGTCACCCCCAGCTTGAAGAAGTTGAACAGCAGCACAGAGTAGGTGCTCAACAAAACCAAATCAATAACTCATAAACCATCAATCCATATACCCTATAACCTCAGCATTACACAGAAAAATCACAACCTTCTGCCCTCTCTCCCTTCATTTGGTTCATATTTTCATAGACAGGAAAAAGAAGTTCCAAAGAGGGATGGCAAAATAAATAAAAGATTGGATAAGGAAAAGAGGAGAGCCGAGAAAGAGGACAAGGGGGGAAGGATGGAAGACGGAAGGGAGGATAGGGAACTTCAGGTCGCGCTGTGACATGGCCTCTAGTGCAGAACTCTCAAATGCTGAATATAGCCTAAGGGAGTCACCCACCCAGGAGAATGTTTCTTTTTAAGGTATGAGTGGGTGCTGGAGAAAAGTAAGCAAGAGGGAGGGGAGGAGTGAAAGCCCAGGCAAACTTCACTTTAGTATCCTCCCTAGGGGAGGCTGGTCCCCATTAAATCTGTGGCCCTAGTCAATGTCACCTTAGTCGCGACCTTACCTCGTTCTGCAACCAGGAGTCCCGCTCCATTTGAAGCTCAAATTTGCCTCAAAGCGGTAAATGCGGCCTTGGTGAAATGCGCCAGTGGACAAAGCTGAAGATCGAGTCCACTGAGAATTCCGGCAGGTTCACCGGGAGAAACTGTTTCCATCTGAGAAGAATCAGGAGTCCTAGCCAGGACCATCTGCCTCTCGGGCGTCAAATTCCGTGCCTGCTTGCGGCCCGGGAGAGCGCCCCCGGCTCCCCAGCTTCGGGGAGCAGAGAGCCAGCCGGAGAGCTCCGGGGCGCGGGCGCGGGCGAGCCAGGCCCCCGCTGCCCACTCGCTGCTGATTGGGGTCCAACTTTTGGGCGCCCAGCTCCCACCTGGCTGCCCCTGCTTCGGTACTGACTGTGCTAAATATTGAACCGAATCCCAGGCGCCCCGCCGGGACTGGGGACTCCCTCCTTCTTGAGTCCTTGGCTGGCAGGAGCGAGTCCTGCAGGCGGGGGCCCGAATGCTCAGGGTATCGCCGACCTTGAGGCTACCGAGGGGTGTGCATGCGCCAAAAATAAACGCGCGCGCGCACACACACACCGTTTCCATTTGATACTTCCCTCCCCAAGAAAGTAACAGTCCTTAAGCAGCATGCGGCACTGGGGAGGGAACGCCGCTCAAGGGTGAAAACCAACATGATTCCCAAAACCAAATTTGGGGATGATTTTAATTTTAGGTTTGGATTTATGCCTATCGAAGGTTAAAAAAAAAGATATGGAACAAATTCCATCGTGTGTGTGTATTCTAAGGCCGAATTTCGGGTGTTAACCGGGGGGAGCTGCAGAGGAAAGACAGGGAGGGAGAGAAATCGCAGACTATGTATCGTTCCAGTACAAGGTTAGAAACGTGCCTTGATTCCCATTTCCAGCGTGGTCTCCATCACGCCCTCCCCGGCTGCCGCAGGAGCTGCCCGGCGTCGCACGGGTTAAGGCCGCGCGCCCGCCAGCCGGCTTCCCCCGGCGTAGAACGCGCCGCGGCGGCGGAGGGGAGAGCCGGGAATCTCCCGCCCGCTCCCCTCAGGAGGGCGCTTCCCTCCCCGCTCTATTTATAGCTCCACTTCCAGCTGCTGCAGGGAACTCACCAGCCGCGCCGAGCATTTTGAGCTCTCCAAGAGCCTTCCAGACAAGGGATTTTCATAAATTCTGTGAATGGCAGAAATGTCTCCAGCCTTCTGGATTTTGATTGCCACTGTTCAGTCTGTCTTTCATATATTCCATTTCCAAGTTGAAAAAACAAAAACGGGCGCCAAGAAGATTTTGAGACAAGAGGTGAATGCCGGCCGGCTGTTTGTTATACAGGGGACCCCTTGTTATCACATGCCCGAAAGAAGAAAAACAATCCTCCATGGATTCACTGGCTTCAGGCTCATTTCATATTTTATGCAACACTCAACCTGTCCAAGGTTTTGCCTGTCAGCCATATGGCAAAAAAGAGGTACGAAGCAAATTTAAGATCCATGAAAAATCATATCCTCTGCCATCTGATTACCTTCTTACGGAGGGGTCTCAGGTCTGGCTGTTTGCTTAAAAAGCATAGTTGGGTGGTCTCTGCATCAAACCCTCCACCAACCCCCAAAGACAACAGGCTAGTTATGTGCCACTTATGGGTTCCCGGCCCCTGTAGATCCTGGTGACACAGGAAAAAAGCAAATTCTGTTGCCTGGAGTGTTAAATGGAACACACTGTACCAGTCTGGAAGGTTCTAAACTGATAACTTGCTCCCAAGCCCCTTCTTCCAATTACTCCTTCCTGAAACAGTATTGAGCCTCTGTGATTTGCAAAGCCCCCATAGGCGCTCTGGGAGCTACAGAGGAACAAACAGCATCTGCCCTGGCAGCATTTAGCTAACACACTGCTCTAATAACTGTGGAAGGAAGCTTGCACAGCACCAAAGGAGCACTCAGGGAGGTCTGAATGGTGGTGCTAAGCCACCCACCTCTGCCCCTCCTTCCCTATCCTCTCCTTTCAAGTCTCCAAGTTTTCCTTTTAGGGTTGATTCCAATATAGTGAGAAGTTATTTATTTAACTGCGTTTAATCGGAATGATCCTAGAATGGGACTTCCAATTAACGGAACTTTCTCGTAATCTATGAGCTAAGTAGAAACCCCTTCTGGTTTAGTTCCTTGCTGTTGAAGCACTTTGCCCTTGTATTCACTTTCCTGCTCTAGTAAAGAGAGAGTACTGAACATGCCTTTTCAGGGACCAGCCAGGCGCTGGGAGTGCATCAAGGAGATGCCCATGTCCTGAGTTCATCCCGGCTGTTTATGTGATCTTGTTCAATTTACTTTACTGTCTGTGCTTCAATTCCTTATCTATCAAATGTGAATAATAGTAACATCACAACAACATGACCTCAATTCTTTTAAATAGCCCCAGAACCTTTGAAATAAACCTGTGCTGGCAGCTGTGCTTGCTTACAGAAACCAAGGGCAGGCTGACCGCCAGTAACCACGAATGAGCCAAATGAAAAGATGAGAACTGAGCTCATCAGTGCTACCCCTACCTGAATATTCCCTTCACTACCATTATAAAATCTCTGCAGGGGATGGAGGTGGAGGAAGAGATGCACTTTGCTAGGCACACACAGGGTCCAGTGCAAAAGAAAGAAGACTACACACACTCCACTTCTCCCTCGAAGGCCCCGCATCTTTCCGGAAATGCTCGCCCGCAGTCTCCACCTTCATACCCTAAGAGATCTTAGAAGTCCCCCTTCACCACATCCCCTAGGAAGGTGCTTTGAGCTTGAGCTGCCCTTCTCCATTCCTTGATCAACAAATAAAGTTTTTGCTCTACTTCACGCAAACCGGTCTTGTTCTATTGGTGTGAACAGCACCGGGACGGAAAAGGACTCACTGGTGTCAAATGACCCCCCTTAAGGGCCTGTGACAGTAATAGTAAGTACCACATGGCTTTCTTGTGAAATTAAAGGCAGTAATCTACATAAATCACTTTGAGTAGTGCCTGGCCTGTGGTAAAGCTCAGTAAATATTAAATGTTATTACTGCACAAATATGAGCATTTGATTTGGTTGAATTTGTACAAAGGGATATGTAATAAAATCTGTTCTATCTGTGTAAATCCATGCTATAAATTAGTTTCCTTTTCATTGTATTAAAGGAGATTCCCCAAGTCATTCCATGTATATAAGGGAGGGCCCTGGCCATCGACCCTGCATTTTCTTCTTGCAGTGAAAAAACACAGCTCCTGGAAGGCCTTTAAAAAGTCTTGCTGCTAATCCATATAAAACACACTCTGACACCCAGGGTGAAGAATCACACGCCTACACTGGTTCACTGCTGTCCTGAGGAAAACACTTTCATATATGAAAAGTTCTTTAAACATAAAAACACTCCATGAAGTTTTCCAAGGGACTATGAAGGGCAAGTATTTCTAGTTAGCTGAAAACTCAAAGCTCAGTACAGATTTGTGCAGTGTCTTATTTCTCCTCCTAAAAAATTAAGCTCCAGAAGGTAGGAACTGGGTTCTATAAATAGTAATACTCTGGCAGAGAGGCCTGGTTATCTTCTCCAAGATCCATATTCACCTTCTTTAGAAGAAAACCCTTGATGTTTAGCCTTGCTCCCAGGTGTGGTTATGTTACTAAGTTCAGGCTAATGGGCTATAAAAGTGTCATGTGGAAGATTCCAAGAAACCTCTCCAAAGATACTGGCTGTGGTGGGTTTTTACTGTGTCAACTTGACTAAATTAGAATGATACATACCAGAATTATGTTCCCCATATGGTTCTGAGCTAGCATGGGCCACAAAAGAAATTTACACAATCTTGGATGGTAGAGGCAAAGCAGCAGCCATGTTTATGCTAGGAGGGCTGGTGTAGAGTCAGGTGCTGTTACAGCTCATGGACCTTATCACAGATCTACTGGCTCACCTTGTCAGTTTGAGATAGAGGCCAGGTTTGCAGCAACTCCTGCTGAATCTCCTCCTTTAGCTTCTCCAAATCCTGGACAAGGTACATGTTAGCTCCGTGACCAACAGCAGTAACTTCCCATACAGGTCACCAGCATCACCAAAGTTGGAGGCTTGGAGGTAGAGATTGATGCAGGTTCTACTTTGTCTTTGTCCTCATGGGTTCCAGGGTTTCATTATTCTCTCTCTTATCATGTCTATATCACTTAGGGTTTCACCAGAGAAACAACGAGGAGGGGGCACACACATACAGTTATCTCTCAGTACCCATGAGGGATTGGTTCCAGGATGCCCCCAGGATACCAAAGTCCACCGATGCTCAAGTCCCTTATAAAAAATGGAGTAACATTTGCATATAACCTATGCACATTCTTCTGTATACTTTAAATAATACCTAGATTACTTATAATACCTAATACGATGCAAATGCTATGTAAATAGTTGTTATACTGTGTTGTTTAGGGAATAATGACAAGAAATAAAAGTCTGTATATGTTCAGTAGATACAACCATTCATTTTTTCCCAAAATTCAGATATAGAGGGCTAACTGGGTATATATATCTGTATATCTGCTTATGTGCTTGTCGGGGTTGGTGAGGCGAGTCTGGTATCTGTAGGGCAGGCTGTCAGGAAAGCTAGACTGGGACTCTCAGGCATGAGCTGAAGCTGCTGTCAAGTAGAATTCCTTCTGCTTCTAGAAAGTCTCAGTTCTACGTCTAAGGTCTTTCAACTGATTGAATCAGGCCCACCCAGGTCATCTAGGATAGCCTTCCTTAAACTGATTAGAGACTTTAATTATACCTGCAAAATATTTTCACAGAAACGTCTAAATTAGAGTTTGACTGAATGACTGGGGACTACAGCCTAGCCACATTGACTTATAACACTGGCCACGAAGAGAGCCTGTCCTGCTCTCTTCAGGCCTAGCACCATACAAAGAACCAACAGAGCAGAATATAAATAATATAACCACTGTGGAAGATCAAGTCCCTAAACCCTTACTCTTTTCCTCCTTGTGGATCTGCTTCTCAGATCTACCCTGACTCATACCAGTACAGTGGCACATATCCTTTGCCCCATTCTCCCTTCCCATTACCCTACTATCTAGAATACAGATATGGTGGCTAGAGGAGCCAAGGTGGACATGAGGACAATAGCCACACTCCAGGGGTGGTGGAGAGGTGAACTGCCAGGATCTGTGTCTTAAAGATTGCAGAGCTACCACACCACCCCTGAGCTGCCGGTCTCCATATTTATTTCACATGACAGAGAAATCTATTTCTGTCTAATTTAAGCCACTGCTATGTTTGTGTTTAATGTTGCTTGTACAAAATTCATTTCTAAGTACTATGTCTTCTACATAGAATTACGTTATAAATAGATATTAGAAGACTCAAGAGTGAGAGCATCCTGCATTACAGTGAGACAAAAAGTGGCTGAATTATTTTTTGTATTTCCTTTTACCTAATTTTCAGGGGAAGTCTGTTACAGGTAATCACATATTTGCCAAACACAGCCACTCACTCTGAAGCCTTAAACCACGTTCCTTTAATTTGAGGAGGTCTTAATTTTCATATCTATAAAATGAGAAGTTTAGATCAGATGGTTTCTAGCATACTTAAAATTCTGAAGCATATATGAACTGGGAATGTAGGACATACTAGACATACATACATAGAAGAGGTGCTTACCAGGATGGGAATAAAGTTTGTCAGAAAGTAGAGACAGACTCATGAAAAATTTCACCAGTCAGATTGAGAATTTTGTTTCCAGAAAACCTATGCAAATTATTTTACATGAATTATCCACACCTTCTCTATGCCTTCCTTATTATGTGGAATATAGGTTGCATGAGGACTGGCATTTTTGCCTGTTTGGATCATTGATACATCTCAAGAATCTAGAGTGATACTCTGCACAATGGAAGCTCTCGGTAAATATTTATTGACTGAATGAATAAATGAATGAAGAATGCAGGTATTTTACCTATGTATGTATGTGGGACAACATCAGCCTTAGAGATTCAAGTCCTGCCAACATCCAGCACAGTAAATTCTGTCTCGTTAAACATTTGTTTTACTTTCAACTCAAAAGAACTGATTCATGGACTGCAATTTCCCAATCTGAATGGTAATCTATAGAGATGTTAAAGAAAATGCCAAGAAAGCATCACTTTTAGGGGAGTTTCTCACTCACTCACTCACTCGGTAAGTTACTGTGGGTGTCACACACAGCACAGTGTCTGGCCCTGGAGGTAATGAACCATATTGCAGGTGGCTGTATATCTTTAAAAGGAGAATGGGCACACTTGAATTGTACCCACCACCTCTTATTATTTCCTGCCTGTGTTTATAGAGAGCAGCACACAGACTCCATCCTCCAATATTTCTTATCTCCTAGTCTTTCTGTGCCCTCTACCTCTATGTGCATGCTGAACCTAAAGATAAGAAGAGTAGTGTGTATTTATTTAAACAGTGTCTTAAGCCATTTTCAAGTATTAAATACTTGAATCCTCACAGTAACTCAATGTGTTAATTATAATACTTATACTCATTTTAGATGTAAGTAAACTGAGGCTCAGAGAAATTGCCCAAGTTCTCATGATGAATAAGTGGTAAAGCTAAGCCCATGCACCTGACTATAATAATACATATTTATAATTTTCAGAGACTTATGGCAGCCCAGCGTCTTGAACAGTCCCAACAGACACCACTGAAAGCAGCTTAGTCAACCTGGGTCCCCTGGGGGCTGAAAAGGAAAAGTGCTGATTGCCTCCTATTCTTCCTGGCACTCAACCACGGAGCAGCCAATATAGATAAACATCCCTGAATATCCAGCCCTGTTTCTAATTGTAGCATAGCCTCTTCTAAATTCTCATATTCACTGCATGGTTTTAATAACTGTGAATTTATGCCTCAGCCCATACTGGTTTTCTGAAATCCAAGCTCATGTATCTATCAACTGGACCACACCTCTGATGTTCTAGACATAACAGGTCCAAAAGTAACCTTATATTCTTGACTTTTCAACCAGCCTATTCCCACCTCACTCCACACAAACATACGGTACCGTTACATGTTTGACCTCTTTGATAACTCTTCAATCCGTTTGCTCCTGACCCCACTATAATTAGTTTGGTCCACGCCATGATCAACTTTTTGTTAGACAGCTGCAATAACCTTCTCACTGGTCTCCTTGCTCTCATTCTTGCCTCTGTAATAATCCAATCTTAGTCCATTTTTATCTTGTCACTTCCTTCCACTTTTACCAAAAAAAAAAAATCCACATAGCCTACAGCCCCTCATGATTCAACCCTTTTCCAATTCTCTAATTTCACCTC